>NC_000004.12:109981987-110133502 GCF_000001405.40 Homo sapiens | reverse complement strand
CCCATTTGCCCAAGTGCAGTGTCAGTGTTAAGTAAGCCATAGTTCACAGCTTTTATTAATACACAGTGTAACATTTGTAAGGAAATGCAACATGCTTTCGCTATGCTTTCACAGTAGGATGAGGCTGTCCTTGAGGTTTGAGGTTTATTTGCCTAACACCTGGCATGCAGGAACTTCAGTAAATATTTGTTGGAGAAATGAATGATCCATTCACAGACTCATTAGGCCCTGATTGTGTCTGTGGGTTACAATAGAACACTCTTCTTATCAGTCCTTATCTGACTTGATTTGCTCTGTGACACTTAACTTCCTCTCTTTTCTCTACCCCTGACCCATGACACTCCTTAATTTTCTTCTTTCCTCTTGAATGTGTCTTCTTAATCTTCTTTGCTTCTCTTCCACCTTCTCTGTAAGTGATGATGCTCCCCGCCCTTCCCATTAGGTTCTGTATTGACCTTCGATATTCCCCTTGGATGATCTCATTCGTGTCCATGACTTCAACCACCACCACCCAGACATGGATGACTTCCAAATAGATATCTTTAGCCCTGATATTTCTATGTCCCACACCCTGTAGATTTCTTTCCATCTCTGGGAGTAAGTCCTATATTGCTATTAACTATCTCTACTAGTAAACACTAAAATGCCACTTCTTTTTTTTTTTAAAGACAGTCTTGCTGTACTGCCTAGGCTGGAGTGCAGTGGTTTGATCTCAGCTCACTGCAACCTCCACATCCTGGGTTCAAGTGATCTTCCTGCCTCAGCCTCCCAAGTAGCTGGGATTACAGCCACACACGACCACACTCAGCTAATTTTTTTTTGTATTTTTTGAATTTTTGTATTTTTGGGGGTTTCACCATGTTGGCCAGGCTGGTCTTGAACTCCTGACCTCAAGTGATCTGTCTACCTCGGCCTCCCAAAGTGCTGGGTTTACAGGCATGAGCCAACGCACCTAGCCTCTAAAAGGCCACTTCTTCTTGACTCCCCATCAAACTAACACTGACCACCCACAAATCATCCCTTACCCTCTCTTTTGCCTCTCTCCCCATATTAAATCAGCTGCCAAGACCTCTCTGTTCTATCTCTTCTGTTGAATTTATTTCAATAAATATATGGAATAATTACTGTATTTTGGGTTACCATCTTTCAGAGCCATCCATCTCTCTGCTTCTACCACCTTAAGCATCTTCTCTTGAGGAAAACTGCAGTTACCTGGCCACTGTCTCTATCAGGTTACTCATACCCCTCCCATCTGCCCTTCACATTGCCACTGCCAAGCGGGCTTTCTACAAATTTAATCTCAGCACGCTCCTCCTCCCTTACTTAAAACCCTTCATGGCTTCCTGTATTTTCAGGATAAAGTTCAAACTAGCCCCATTCGAGCATAAAAGTCATTCAAGATACAAGCTTATCTTAATTCTCCACCCTCATTTCTGACTCCTGTAGCCCAGGAGTCCAGGTCCTTCAACCTGCACCCCACCCCACTGAGTGGTTGTGTCCAGCTTTCCTCCTGCAGAAGCACCTCTTCCCCCATTCTTTTCTGGCCATTCTGGCATGCCTTAAAAACTGGCCATTTCAGCAAGAGAATTTCTGTCCTTCTCTTTATTTTTTTCCCCTATCCTCTTCATACCATTCTGAATATTTAGAGTGCATTATAGATTTTTGTTTACTTGTCTATCTCACTAGATGATGAGCAATTTGAGGTTTGTGTCACCAGCATCTAGAACTGTCTAGACCAGTGTTTCTTAAAGTGAGGTCCCCAGGTCCTCCTGGCAATGACAGAATCATTTGGTTGTTGTTAATATTCATACTTGGGCCCTCCTCACCCCCACAGGACCTAGAGGATTGGAGTTTTTGTTTTTTTTCTTTAGTTTTTAAAATTTTTTTCTTGTTTTAGTTTCTCCACTTTGCAAGAGAAATTTTTGATTTTTTAAACTAGGTGATGTTTATGAATATTATAGATATTGAGTAAATGTTTTTGAATAAACAAGTAAACCAGCTGGAGCCCTCGTTCATGTTTTTGAGTTCACATACGCTGTATTAACTTGGATTTGTTACTGATAATTCTAAAAATACCCCTGTCTATAAAAGAGGCAGTTTAGTTTTCTAGAGAAGACTGCCTATTTGTCATAATATGAACTTGAGGATTTGGAGATTCTATGGCCAATTTTGATCAATATAAACAGATAATTTGAATAGTTCAGATTAAAAAAATAATCCACACAACTCTGGATTTCAGCATCCCAAACTCTTCTAGCCCTTCTGGTGACTCATGAAAGGTGTCCCACCTCTCTGTAACTCAGTTTCTGTCAGTGTAAATTAGAATCATACTGTGAAGCAACAGGGATTAGAACATCAACGCAACAGATATTTCCTAGGTACTTCATTATTTTCAGTTCAATGTCCAAGGTGCAGACCTTACATGTAGTACAGTCAATGATAATTTAGAAAGCTTCCTTACCTGTAAAAAATTCTCTTATATTCAAATAAACTAGTGCAGCCAGAGCTTTTATATAGGAGTGGGAGTTAGAGTGAAGTATCTAATGATCTTTATATGTGTTAAACTTACATGTTTCCTTGAAAGAAATGTGTACTTACCTATGTTTGTATGCATTTAAATGCCTAAATACAGACCCATGCACAGATATAAATTTTCTGTCTTTGATATCCTAAAATGACTGATGGTCATGTGCATAAAAGCTAGTCTGAGAACCCTGGAGCCTGCCAGACAGGTTGAGCTTCTGAGTAAGCACTGTAGCTATTGCAGTGCTCAGCCCACACGATATGTTTTGCTTAAAGGGAACTATCCAATCCTTGGCCGGATGGATGATGGTGGACACTTTGGTTTAATACTGCTTATTACTGTGTCACTTTAATTTGCCTAAAATTGTTCACAGAACGTTGTCCTTATATGTTTCTGGGAGTTACTTTTCCTTGGGCTACTGTGTTGGTTTTGCTTTAGCATCCTTGGTTCAGTCATTTTTAGTACTTGGTCATTCAAGCTTAATTAAATGAGAATAATTACGGCCAGAATGCCCAGGAAGTATAGGACAGCTTTTTGTTTTTGTTTCCCCGCTGTCTTATGGTACTGACAGAGCTCCCACAGATCAGGCAGCTCAACAGAGGAGGGAGGCTATACAAATGTCACTTTAAATATATTTACATTTTAGAGGAATTGGCTTGCTAGTTCTAGTCCATGTTAATAAATCACCACAGAATCCCACATACTGTTAGTAGCAACAGAACTTAGTGCCTTACATTCAGAGAAGTTTTAATTGAAATTTAGAGTATTAAGATTGTGTTGGGTGGCCAGGCGCGGTGGCTCATGCCTATAATCTCAGCACTTTGGGAGGCCGAGGTGGGCGGGTCACGAGGTCAAGAAATCAAGACCATCCTGGCCAACATGGTGAAACCCCATCTCTACTAAAAATACAAAAATTAGCTGGGCATGGTGGCGCATGACTGTAGACCCAGCTACTCAGGAGGCTGAGGCAGGAGAACTGCTTGAACCCGGGAGGCAGAGGCTGCAGTGAGTCAAGATCCATTACTGCACTCCAGCCTGGTGACAGAGCAACACTCTGTCTCACCAAAAAAAAAAAAAAAAAAAAAAATTGGATTGGATTGGAAATAATGGAAAAAATCAACAAATAGAATCTTAATCATGTATGGGAATTGCCTTGTTTCACTCAACAGACGTCTAGAGCACACAATCTAGAGCTGACAAGGCAGCTGGATGATGCTATCAGGAAACTAAGCTGATTTCATCTTTTACTTCATTGTCTTTCTCATGTGGGCTGCCCCACGGCTATAAGATGGTTGCTGCCACGCTTCAGGTTTGTGACTAGGAAGAAAAGAGAAGAGCAAAGGAATAAAACTCCAAAGGGACATGCAGACAAGTCTGTATGTTTTAAAAACCTTTCCCAGAAGCCCCACCTGGCAACTCCTGTTTTCATAATCATTGCCATAGCTTCACTGCAGACTAATCTCTGAAAAAGAGCAAGGCAAATGAGTATCATGGATGGGCATTCAGTCATATTGCCATACTTAGCCTCACAATTGATCCAGTCCAGTGAAGCTAGGGTTCCAATCAAAGAACGTCTTGTGGGGTGTATCACTTACTATAACATCTATCCTGGTGTTAAGGCATCTCTTGAGAGACTCAAGGACTTTTTAGGAGGTGACAGATGACACTAGGGAACACCCTGTTTCTCAGCTGGTAAGAAGAGAAAGCAATCCAGTGTAGATGTGTCTCACTTGAGAAATATATAAAACAATAACAGAAATATATAAAACAATAACAATTATTTGATTCTTAAAAATAATTATTAATTTTTCTTAAATAGGAAAGCTCCCCAAATGTTTTCAAAATACAATTTAGTTTTTTGAAAAAAAGATTTATACATAATTTTTCTGGACTAAATCTGCTACATAAAGCAAGATAAGCCTGTCCTTTTGAAAAGTTTGCCTTTGAGTACTGAATGTGTAGGTTGGTGCAAAAGTAATGGCAAAACCACAATAACTTTTGCACCCACCTAAAATCTTAGTAGCTCAGTTACCTACTTATCTATCCTCATCAGTCCAGCCTTTCTTGTATCTTCCAAAACATGTTCCAAGTGAGCTGAGAAGTTTCCTTTACAAGTTCTGTCTTGTTGGTTGGAAATATGGATGACTGTTTTCTCAGTCTTGAAACTGACATTGTTGCATGTTGGTAGCTGACACATGGTGGGAGGAGCATAATTTTATATCTAAGAACATGATAAGCACCGAAACAAATGAGGAAATGTTAGATCTTGCTGTTGCCCCTACGCTCACAGATAAGTGTCTGAGTGAAACTGTTTGCAGAAGGCACTCGATGGACTTCATACACCCATATGTGTAAAACATTTAACGAGTTGCTCTGAAATGATGCTCCAGTTGGGAGGGTACAGATGCAGGAACTTCCTGTAACCGCACTGCCCATGACGCCTGCCTTATCCTCACCTACAAGGCCTGCTGTTGTCTAAAACCTGTGCCATTCCCACCAGACTTACTCAAGCTCCAGCTTTCATTTCATCAGTGAGTGATCTTTATATATCACAAATCCAAGCACGTGACTTCATTCATTTAAAACCTTCATTGGCTACCCATTACTCTTAAGATGAAAAAGAAACGTCTTAGCATGGCCTATAAGA
Source organism: Homo sapiens (assembly GCF_000001405.40). Classification (NCBI taxonomy): domain Eukaryota; kingdom Metazoa; phylum Chordata; class Mammalia; order Primates; family Hominidae; genus Homo; species Homo sapiens. The sequence continues at coordinate 110,128,331 of NC_000004.12, read as the reverse complement.
GTCCTCATGATCTTGCTTCCACTTAACTTCTTGCACCTTCATCTCAACACTCTCCCACTTACTCTGTAATTGAAGGTCAAGTGCTCTAAATTTCTTAGAGTTGTTTGAATGTGCTTTCTCTCTCATGCCTCTGGCTCTTTGCCCATACTGTTCCCTCTCACTTTCTTTGCCAGGCTTATACTCGTCCTGTCTGAATATGTCTCCAGAAAGCCTTCTCTGACCCAACAAGATGGGGTTATCGTGCCTCCTGTGTGTTTCCTAATTTCACTTTTTACTTTTTTTTTTTTTTTGAGACAGGATCTCTCTGTGTAGCCCAGGCCAGTCTTGAACTCCTGGGCTCCAGTGATCCTCCTGCCTTGGCCTCCCAAAGTGCTGGGATTACAGGTGTAAGCCACTGTGCCCAGCCTGTTTCCTTATTTTTAGTCCCCTGCTTTTCTGATTACTTGTCTGTTTTCCCCCAAAACATGTCTGGGTGCAAGGAGTGTGTCTGTTTTGTTAACTATTCTCAATGCTTAGGACATAGTTAGCCCTTAATAAATATTTACTGAATAGCTGTATGCAAGAATGAATGAATCAAAAGTCTCCTTATTCTCAGCCCAGATAAATTCTTCTTGGTCATGATAGATAATTCAGCAAAATTTTGTACCATAAACCAAAAGGCTTTGAAAAGTTTTATTAAATAAATATATTTGATCTCTGTCATTAAACTACCATCCTCAAAGCCTGGAAAACTATCTTTCACCTGGAAAACTAACTCATAACTTATGAAGAAAAATAAATGTTATCCATTAGTTTCAGTTTTACATTTAAAAAAGGATAAGGAATTTTAGATTAATGTTTTTCTTAGGCTCTCCCATAGAGGAGAAGCTTTAGGAGCTTAGTGAGACATAGGCTTACCTTCTTTTCTTTTTTTTTTTTTTTTTTTGAGACGGAATCTCGCTCTGTCACCCAGGCTGGAATGCAATGGCACGATCTCGGCTCACTGCAACCTCTGCCTCCCGGGTTCAAGTGATTCTCCTGCCTCAGTTTCCTGCCTAGCTGGGTTTACAGGTGTGCACCACCACACCCAACTAATTTTTGTATTTTTAGTAGAGACAGGGTTTCACCATGTTGGTCAGGCTGGTCTCGAACTCCTGACCTTGTGATCCAACCATCTCGGCCTCCCAAAGTGCTGGGATTACAGGCGTGAGCCACTGCACCTGGCCAGGCTTTTCTTAGAGCCATGGTATTGTGGCAACAACGGTACATATATCCTGTGTCTCTTAGTGTAGAGTAGGAGAGATGGTCTACTACTTTTCCTTTTCCTCTCTTTTCAAAGTCTTTGCTTTTTTTAATGCATTGATTTTTTTTTTGTAATTACAGTATTAGCCAGAAGTATTTTATTTTTTGTAGGATACAATTAATTTTGATATGCATGTTATCAAAGTGATGTTATCTTTGAGATAGGAAATCAAAGAGTCCTGAGGGATTCTGGAAGAGAGTGGCTGAAGATAGGTAGCTAAATCATCATGATAAAAGCATGAAATAGTGGATCAAGCTCAAATTTAAAAATCTTCTAAGACTTTTACTTCAGTGCACACTTTATGGTTACTCTTCTGGATTCAGAAAGTCTGGGAGGAGGAAATCTGTCTTTGCAAGCATCTCATAGGTTCTGTTGGAGGTGGTCAGTGAACCATTTTGAGAAACACATAAGATTAGCTGGTAAAAATGCTTAGTTCAAAAATGTGAGTGTGTGTACATAGGGTTGTTAGATGACTAGCACCTTCAAATCCTCTTAAATTTGTTACATAACACCAGAGAGTGTATTAGAAGTTTGGAGGAAACTGGCATCAAATTTTTCACTACCATCCATATGTATACTTCCTTGGGAGGCCTCCCAAAAGTCAATGAGGGGCAAAATTGAGTTACTGATTTGTCATTAATGGGAATTCCAAGCTTTGCCCCTCTCCCTTGTTTTACTCTGCTCCACTCAGGCCAAGATTTGAGGGTTGGGTGCAGCGACTCATGCCTGTAATCTCAGCACTTTGGGAGGCCGAGGCAGGTGGGTCAGCCTTGAGTCCAGGAGTTCAAGACTACCCTGGGCAACATGGCAAAACCTCATCTCTACAAAAAATACAAAAATTATCTGGGCATGGCGGTACATGCCTGTAGTCCTAGCTACTTGGGAGGCTGAGGTAGGACAATTGTTTGAGCCTGGGATGTAGAGGTTGCAGTGAGCCAAGATCAAACCATTGCACTCCAGCCTGGGCAACAGAGTGAGATCCTGTCTCACAAAAAAAAGATTGGACAGTTTTTGTTTTTAACCATCACTGGGGCCAAATCAGTTTCTCTCAATCTCTAATTCTTGCTCCCAATCTTTTTCTCCCTTCTCTCACTCTGATTAAAATTGACATATTGTTTTATTTTTTATTATAAAAGTAATAAAAACATTCTTTTTATAACCCACATGAATGCAAGTACAAAATAAAAATCACCCATAAACCAAATCTCTATTTTTTTTTTTTTGAGATGGAGTCTCGCTCTGTCGCCCAGGCTAGAGTGCAGTGGTGCCATCTTGGCTCACTTCAACCTCCACCTCCCAGGTTCAAGCGATTCTTTTGCCTCAGCCTCCTGAGTAGCTGGGACTACAGGCGTATGCCACCATGCCTGGCTAATTTTTTTTATTTTTTTTTTAAGAGAGATGGGGTTTCACTATGTTGACCAGGCTGGTCTCAAACTCCTGACCTCAGGTGATCTGCCCACCTCAGCCTCCCAAAGTGCTGGGATTACAGGCATGAGCCACCATGCCTGGCCTAAATCCCTATCTTTCTAATAGAGTAAAGAAAATTACTTTTTATTAATTTATAAAGAAAATTAAATTTTATCCATCCCTTTCCTTATGTATATTGACATGGTCTTGGTCTTTCATTCATAGAGCCACTGAGTTCTATAAAGATACGAAGATACTCTGGAAACACGTAGGGAAATGTAGAAAGACTTTTTAAAAAAGTGTTTATGTTTTTAAAGAAACAACAATATCTTATCTTTGAAACATTTATGTTTTTACTTAATGATGGTTTCCTAAAATTGAGATCAGCTTATAGGTATATAATGTTATTACTCAGCTAAAAATTTAAAACTTCATCTCAACTCACTGAAGCATTGGAGTCAAAGGCTTTATTTTTTAAAAAATGGAAATGGGTAGTTGTTAGAGTATATTTTTAAAATAAAAATTACTCAATGACTTTTTATTTTAGTTTAAAAGTAATATTTATTCATTTCATTTGCCTTCTTTTCAAAAGTTCTGATTTCCACAATACCATTAGGTTTTACTTCTCTATATGTTCATTTAGAGAAACATATATTAAAAAGTCACTTGTGCCTTGTCCTTCACTGCTGACTCATGATGAAAATTGAAAGCCTATTTTTTGTCCTTGTCAGAAATCATTATACTTTTTTGCAACTTGGACCTAAAAACAGTTGGCCAGTGAAGCAGAATTAATGTGCTTGTAGAAAAATCTGTCTAGTTGAGAGTAATCCTGGCAGTTTCTTCAAGAACTAGCCTTTGCTTATATATATTCAGGTTTGGGTTTGCAAGAGGAAATCCTGAAAGAACAATAAACACATTCTTTTTTTTTTTTTTAAGTTCCAGGATACATGTGCAGAATGTACAGGTTTGTTACATAGGTAAACATGTGCCATGGTGGTTTGCTGCACCTTTCAACCCATCACCTAGGTATTAAGCCCCACGTGCATTAGCTATTTGTCCTGATGGTCTCCCTCCCCTAACTCCCTGTACCACAGGCCCCAGTGTGTGTTGTTCCCTTCCTCGTGTCCATGTGTTCTCATTGTTCAGTTCCTACTTATGAGTAAGAACATGCAGAGTTTGGTTTTCTGTTCCTGTGTTAGTTTGCTGAGGATGATGGCTTCCAACTTCATCCATGTCCCTGCAAAGGACATGATCTCATTCCTTTTTATGGCTGCATAGTGTTCCATGGTGTATATATACCACATTTTCTTTGTCCAGTCCATCATTAGTGGGCATTTGGGTTGGTTTCATGTTTTGCTATTGTGAATAGTGCTGCAGTAAACATACGTATGCAATAAGCAAACATTCATTATAATAGAATAATTTGTAATCCTTTGGGTATATACCCAGTAGTGGGATTGCTGGGTCAAATGGTATTTCTGGTTAAACACATTCTTTATGAAGAAAGATTAAATAAATTCTTCTCTAGAGTCAAGCTACTTTAAACCTGTTTTAATTCAAGACTTTACCGTGGTACCTTCTAATCTGTCTACAGACTGTCTAATTTAACTCACAAGAGGCAGTAGCAGAAACTGGGATTTCTTGGTAACTAAGATTTATAGTTACCTTTTAAAGAAGATTTTAGTTATTGATAAAAACAAACAAACCTTCTTTACCATAGTCTAGATCCTTTCATGCTCATTTTTTCCTGAATGATATTTATGACTATGCAAACTTAGCTGGATTTACCTGAAAAGTTACTGAAAGGAGAATTATTGCCCAGATACACATTTATAGATACATGCTCAAATGACATCTCAATATGTTGAATTTTCCAAAGACAAAATCAGTAGAATCTGGTAAATTTTACCTTTGAAGATAGTTCTTGCCTTGGCTATTCCCTGCCTTATACATTTCCTCCCAGAATGGCTCATTCCCATACTTCCTTCCAGTCTTGGCTCACATCCACCTTCCCAGTGTGCCACCCTGTTTAACACTGTGCTCTGTCCCTCACTCTCCATCCCATTTTCCACCTGCACCAACTTGCTTTTTTTCTTTCCATAATATTTGTAATTTTCTAACATACTATATAATTTACTTATTTTCTTATTTATTGTCTTTCTCCAGGCTTGTAACCTCCATCCACGAGGACGGGGTTTTTTGTCTGTTTGGTTCACTGATGTATTCCCGGAGCCTAGAACTCTGCTTAGCACACAGTTGGCACTCAATTAATACTTGCTGAATGAATAATTTAAATCATTTCAAGATTTAAACTACCTATCTTAATTTGTAGTATTCTTTCTGCTACTAAGGGAAAAGAGCTATAAGAAAATACAATTTTTACTGTTTAGATTTAAAATAAAGTGAGTTTGAAGCAGAGTTTCACAGATCACTTGAGCATCAGTTATTCTATTTAGTCTTCAATAATGTATTTTCCCTGTTAAAAGTATGTCCAAAACACAAGATTTAAAAAATCAAATAAACCATTTATTAATTCATATGTTGAGGAAAGACGTAAAGTCCTGGGCATACAAAGTTGAGTAAGATACAATCTGTACCCTTCAGGATTTCAAAGGAAAGACAGATATGTTAGCTTGTGTGTAAAATACAAACAGACAAGTGCTACAGTAGGTAAGAAAAAGACATATAGAAAGCACAGTGGTGATGAAGGAAGGGATAGGCAACTTGACCTAGAAGCAGTCAGGGAGTATCTTCACAGTGATCATAAAAAATGACAAGGTTGCATGGGAAGGGCATTCAACGTACTGAGAACAGCATGTGCGAAGGAAAGTGGGACAAAGGGGCGTGATGTCTTTGGAGAATGACAGTATAGTTGTAGCACAGGGTGTCACAGGGGAAAGTTATGACATGATTCCAGAGGAGTAGGGAGAGGTGAAACCATTTGAACCATGTCAAAGCATTTTGGGGCCGGGTGCAGTGCCTCACACCTGTAATCCCAGCACTCTGGGAGGCCAAGGTGGGTGGATTGCTTGAGCTCAGGAGTTTGAGACCAGGCTGGGCAACATGGTGAAGCTTCATCTCTACAAAAACACACAAAAATTAGCCAGGTGTGGTGACAAGCACCTGTAGTCCCAGCTACTTGGGAGGAAGGCTTGAGACCAGGAGGCAGAGGTTGCAGTGAGCTGAGATTGTGCCACTGCATTCCAGCCTGCACAACACAGCCAGACTGTGTTTCAAAACAGAAACCACAAAAAAAGAAAAGCATTTTGGACATCTTAGAGATGATGCCAAATCTGTTAAAATTCCTACAGTCTGTAGAGCCTAGAATCTACCATATAATATTAATGCCATTCATATTTAAATAAACAAGATAGTTGGCTAATAGTGAAGATTATATGCTACATAAAGATCTTGACTTCATATAATTTAATGTTTACATTTCCTTTTATATAGTCTTGCACACTTGTGTCCTCAACAGTTTTTCTATATCAGATTTAAGGATTTTGAAGCAAAGGGCCATTGTCCTTTTGGACAGCTGGAAATACAGAATAAGTCAGTCTAAGTGGGAAAACACAAAGACAAAACAACGGTGTAGTATGCCTAAGCTCTTACAGTATGTTCTGCCATTAAGCAGTCAAGGGTATACGGCTGCCAGTATATAGCAAAGTAGGCAAACACTAGATGGAAAAGGAGTAGTCAGCTTCAAGCATGTAGTGACTTTGGAAAGTCTGGAGACCTTTTCTTACAGATTTCTCTGGAGACCTTTTCTTACAGATTTCTCTCTATGTCCAAAAATTAAGCCTTATGAATGTGACCTAAAGAAAGGAATGTTCTATTGGAGACAAAGTGAATTGCAAGTGTAAGTGATTTATATTTTTAACTGGCAGAAATAGTGATGGGGTGTGAGAGTGAGAAGGGATGATAAAAACTACTACTTTTTTTTTGAGACAGAGTCTCGATCTGTCGCCCAGGCTGGAGTGCAGTGGCGCAATCTCGGCTCACTGCAACCTCCGCCTCCTGGGTTCACGCCATTCTCCTGCCTCAGCCTCCCGAGTAGCTGGGACTACAGGCGTCTGCCACCACGCCTGGCTAATTTTTTTGTATTTTTAGTAGAGACGGGGTTTCACCGTGTTAGCCAAGATGGTAAAAACTACTACTGTTAAGAACCAACTGGGATTTCTTGGTAACTAAGATTTATAGTTACCTTTTAAAGAAGATTTTAGTTATTGATAAAAACAAACAAACCTTCTTTACCATAGTCTAGATCTTTTCATGCTCATTTTTTCCTGAATGATATTTATGACTATGCAAACTTAGCTGAATTTACCTGAAAAGTTACTGAAAGGAGAATTATTGCCCAGATACACATTTATAGATACATGCTCAAATGACATCTCAATATGTTGAATTTTCCAAAGACAAAATCAGTAGAATCTGGTAAATTTTACCTTTGAAGATAGTTCTTGACTTGGCTATTCCCTGCCTTACGCATTTCCTCCCAGAATGGCTCATTCCCATACTTCCTTCCAGTCTTGGCTTACATCCACCCATTACAGGCTCAGGCCTGTAATCTCAGCACTTTGGGAGGCCGAGGTAGGTGGATCACCTGAGGTCAGGAGTTCGAGACCAGCCTGGCCAACGTGGCGAAGCCCTGTCTCTACTAAAAATACGAAAATTAGCCAGGCGTGGTGGCAGGCGCCTGTAATCCCAGCTACTTGGGAGGCTAAGCCAGGAGAATCGCTTGAACCCGGGAGGCAGAGGTTGCAGTGAGCCAAAATCGCTCCACAGCACTCCAGCCAGGGGGATAGAGCGAGACTCTGTTTCAAAAAAAAAAAAAAAAAAAAGAAAAGAAAAAAAAGAAAAGAACCAGCTGAGAAGTGTAACATTCCTGGTATACAATGTAGTGGTTGAGAAGTGTAACATTCCTGGTATACAATGTAGCGGTGGAATCTCAAGTGCTCAGAACACCTCCATCAGTACCTAGAATATAGTAAGTGCAGTTTTTAAAAAGTAATTACTATTTTGATCAAATTGAAACACATTTTAATTTCGTGGCCTGGAACAATGCATAGTAGTAGTTTGAAGTCAGGACCCAACTGTTTGTGTATAATGGTGCATCAAGTTCCCATAGGAGAGCTATGTGAAGAGCTGCAACCCATGGATATTCAGTAATACTTTTTAACTATTGTTATCACACTCAGACATCTAGAATTCCTCAAATTGATCAAAAAAGGCCTTAGACTCAAGAAGTATCTTGAGTAAATACTTGCCAAATCTTTTTTTTTTTTTACTTTTTTATTTTTTATTTTTTGGTAGGAAACCTTTCTGTGTAAACATAGCTAAATATTGTTACTCTCAAATCTTGGTGCTTAGTAAATCAGTCTTGACAAACAAGCAAAGTAGAAAAAAGACAAGAAAAGCAAAGGCTCAGGTTTACTATCCAGAGCGATTGCTACCTATCCACATGGTGTGTGCATGCCAGCATAAGCAATCTGAAGAACACATTTCCCCATAATGCATTCTCAAAGGGCATGCTTTGGGAATAGGGGAAGACACATTAACCTTCTGACTTTCAAAGGAATGTTGAGTCACATACACACTCTTCTCTCCCTAAGCATTTTTCCTTCCTTTTGAAACTCTGAAGAAAAGGATGCTGTAGGCATTGTGATTTTGAGAATCTCTTTTCTGGGAATCCATGCTTGATCAATCCCAGCCATACCATAGTCACATGCAGCAATTCACCTGACATGCAAAGAAAGGAGAAATTATTCTTGTGTCTCACAACCTGGCAGTAAAGAGAAACTTGTAAGAATAAAGTTCCCTTTCACTTTATGAAGAAATGGGAGCTATGGACTTAATTTTCTTGTTTTCTGAGGGATCTTGAGATTTTTTTTCATTAAGATTTTCCCCAAAAGGTCTTTCTTTCTCTCTTTTTTTGGCTTTGAATCTGTGAAGGGGCAAAGAGAAAAAAGAAAGTGAAAGTCTGTGGGAAATGATGTAAAAAGATATATAGATAAAAGTCTTCTAAGCTATATAGAGATAAAGGACTCCTAAACCAGCTCCGGACACTGTCTGACCAGTTTTACTCTGCTTCCCGCTGTAGAAACTGATGACAGGCACAAGCAGGAGCGCAGCTTCCTGTTGAACTGGTTTAGCTTTGTGCACAATCCTTAGAGGAGAATTAGTGCCTTGCAACATGTTAATTAGGGGAGCAAAGGCCTGTGAGTAGCTAATAAAGATGATTAATATTTTGTTAGAAGATTTAGAAAACAGTGCAATTGATTTTGTCCATCTCAATTGATATACTTTATCATGTGATACCACCTTTTTTTTTCTTTCTTTCTTTTGAGATGGAGACGCACTCTGTCACCAGGCTAGAGTGCATTGGTGCAATCTCAGCTCACTGCAACCTCTACATACTGGGTTCAAGTGATTCACCTGCCTTGGCCTCCCAAAGTGCTGGGATTTCAGGCATGACCCACTGCACTCAGCCAATACCACCTATTTTATTACAATTCCAATACTTCTGAAAATAGAGCTATTGCTACTCTCAATTTTTATTAATTTTAATTAATTAATTTGTTTGAAATTTCCTTTGTGGCCCAGGCTGGAGGGCAGTGGCATGATCACAGCTTACTGCAACCTCCGCCACCTCCCAAGCTAAAGCCATTCACCTACCTCTGCCTCTCGAGTAGCTGGGACTACAGATGCCTACCACCATGCGTGGCTAATTTTTACTGTAGAGAAGGGGTTTGGCCATGTTGCCCAGGCTGGTCTCAAACTCCTGAGCTCAAGCAATCTGCCCACCACATCCTTTCAAAGTGTTGGGGTTACAGACATGAGCCATTGCATCTGGCCTACTCTCAATTTTTTAAAGTGTATGTCATAGAAAACTTTGGTGATATCAAATTTTCGGACTTTGAATATGGGAGTATCCCCATGTTCATTGTAGCATTATTCACAGCAGCCAACATATGGAATCAACCTAGGTGCCCGTAAACAGATCAATGGATAAAGAAATTGTGATATAATGGAATTTTATTTCGCATTAAAAAAGAGATTCTATCATTTGTGACTACATGGATAAACCTGGAAGATATTATCCTAAGCCAGGCATAAAAAGAAATGTTATTGTGTGATTTCATTTATATGTGAAATCTAAAAAAGTTGAAAATGTAGAAACAGAGTAGAATAGTGGTAACATTGTCCCATACTGGGTGAAGTTAATATTGGTTATCATGGAATTATCTATAAAAGTGGTTAATAAAGAGATGACTGCAGTAACTAAAATTCTACTTCAAGAAGAATTTGAATTCTGTGTGGAGTTAGGGGGGTGGTGTCTTGGCAGTTACCATGAAGTCTGGTTCTATTCATTTAAGATCACTGGCCAGGCGCAGTGGCTCACACCTGTAATCCCAGCACTTTGGGAGGCCGAGGCGGGTGGATCACTTGAGGTCAGGAGTTTGAGATCAGCCTGGCCAAAATGGTGAAAACCTGTGTCCACCAAAAATACAAAACTAGCCGGGCATGGTGGTGTGTTCCTGTAGTCCCTGCTACTTGGGAGGCTGAGGCAGGAGAATCACTTGAACCCAGGAGGCGGAGGTTGCAGTGAGCCGAGATCTCACCACTGCACTCCAGCCTGGGCGATAGAGTGAGAGTTTGTCTCAAAAAGAAAAAAAAAAAAAAAAGATTATTCCTTTTTCTCCTCTCTGGGGAGATATATATATATATATATATATTTTTTTTTTTTTTTTTTTTTTTGAGACAGAGTCTCACTCTGTTGCCCAGGCTGGAGCGCAGTGGTGCAATCTCGGCTCACTGTAAGCTCCGCCTCCCGGGTTCACGCCATTCTCCTGCCTCAGCCTCCCAAGTAGCTGGGACTACAGGCGCCCGCCACCACGCCCGGCTAATTTTTTTATTTTTAGTAGAGATGGGGTTTCACCTTGTTAGCCAGGATGTTCTCGATCTCCTGACCTCGTGATCCACCCATTTTAAATGCAGTTCTAGATGACCTTCATTCAGGAGAGGCACTGAAGCAGATGAATAATTGTAAGAATTCAATCTACCAGCCTTCAGGATGCAGCTGGACATGGCCCATCGTAGTCAGAAGTGAACCTAATTCTAGAACAGTGAAGAGAGTAATATACTGACTCACTGGTTGTTATTTTGTTTTCCCTTTTAAATCGAACTGCTCACTTGAAACAAGAAGCTTGCTTTATTTACTCTGTGCTTGAAATCAATTTGAAGCAATTCAGCCTGAGTGTGTCTGAGGCATAAGTGGTATCACCCCAATCAGTGAACGTACTTTTGAAGCAGTTTTGCCTACACCCTCTTGAGTTTTCCAATTTCTCTTTTCTTAATTTCTGTCTCCATATTTCTCTTGTTCAGGATCCTCAACCTTAGCACTATTGGCATTTTTGGGGGCTGGATAATTTTTGGTTGCAGAGGGCTGTCTTGTGGCATCCAGGGCCTCTACACACCACCTGCCAGTAGCCAACTGCCTTCCAGTTGTAAAGACCAAAAATGTCTTAAGATATTTCAAAATATCCTCTGAAGGGCAAAATCATCACCCTCTGTGAGAACCCATGGTGGAGGCCAAAAGAGAAGAGGTCCACAGATTGAATTCTGGGGATCCTCAGTTTGTGGATTGAGGAGATGAAGGGAAAGCAGCAAAGGAAAATGAAAAAAGAACAGATGGTGAAGTTGGAGAAGAAGCAAGAGAAAACAGAAAGGAAGGAAGTGAAGGAAGCATTGCAGGAAAGAAGGAGTTGCCATCTGTGTCAAATGCTGCTGCTAGCAGGCCATCTGGGTGGAAGACTGATACTTGACCATTGCTGCATAGAAACCTATCTTTATAGACATAAGCCCAAAAAGAGAGGAAGGATAAAACAACTGCATTGCCACAAACAGGAAAACATACTTAAAGTAGCCTGTAGTACGTATTTTAAGATTGGGATTAAGAGAATGGTTACAAACCAAGTAACCTTTGTTGTTGCAAAGGAGTGTTGAGAGATGGCAATTTAGGACTGTGGACAGTCAGAATAAATCGAATACATATTAGTAATTTTAGTAAATTGTATATTATACTAGAAATTCTGAACATAGGTACCTGGTTCATTGTAAAGGATACAGTAAGTCATGTGCTACTAAGAGTTCAGATGCTGATATTTGTGAGTCACATGTTAATGAGTTGCTTAAAGACAATCTCCATAAGAGTGTTGCTCTCGCCCTTTGGATTCTAAAATGCTTTCTTGAGTAGAGGGGAAGAACCTGGCTTTGGGGATGGCAAACCAGGAATAGACATGAAACATGTGCATCTGTAGGGGTCTCCTATGTGTTTTAGTAGAAGAATGGCTTTAGATCTTACGATTTAGTTTAATCCACATGGTAAACAGAATAACAGTCCCTCAAAAATGTGCCCATCTTCTGTGAATATGTTACTTTATATAGCAAAGGACATGTTGCGGATGCAATTAGGTTGAGGAATTTGAGATGGTGAGATTATTCCAGAATATCTTTGGGCAGGGGACATCTAATCACATGGGTTGTTAAAATGGAAGCCTCTAGGCTGTGGCCCTGGATTATCTGGTGGGCCCATTATATTCACAGGGTTCTTAACAGGGAGTTGGGGGGATCAGAGTCAGATAAGGTGACGTGACCATGGAAACAGCTTGGTGTGATGCATTTTGAAGATGGAGAAGGAGGCAGCCATGAGCCAAGGAATGTCAAGTGGACTCTAGATGTTGGAAAAGGCAAGGAAATGGATTCTGCCATAGAGCCTTCAGAAGAAATGCAACCCTGGTGACTCTTTGATTTTAGCCCCGTAAGACTCATTTCAGATTCTAACTTCCAGAACTGTAAGATAATACATTTGTTTTGTTAGAAGCCATTCAGTTTGTGAGAATTTGTTGTAGCTGTCCCCATTATCGGAGTTCTCAAAGCTATTGTCTGCAAACTTTATCCTCTTATGTCACTGAATGAGAGTTCAGATTTTGAAGGAGCAGTATGAAAGCCCCAGTCAAAATGTTGCCATATTATTATTATTTCTGGAAGTTTTTTTTTGTAGAGACAGGTTCTCACCATATTACCCAGGCTGGCCTTGGATTCCTGGCCTTAAGCCGTCTTCCCACCTTGGCCTCCCGAAATGCTGGGATTACAGGCATGAGCCATCATGCTTGGCCCTATATTATTATTTTTAAGAACAAGATGAAATTCAGAGTTCTTTCTTGGGTAATCGGGTGATAATCTCATAAGTAAAAACAATGTTTAAGTCATTTTCACTCATTACTAAAAATATATTTCTTCTGATTACTGCCAGTTTTTTCTCAAGCTTAATTTCTTATGTACATTTGATTTTGCTGACAAAATCAATTTATAAACTAACCATGAGATCATCGTCACTGCTGAGATATTTTCTCTAATCCAGAAATAGTATTTGGGGTATATTTTCTCATTGCTTCCCCAGTTTCTTTTCAAAATTTATATTGAGGGAATCATTAGTGACAGGAGTATATTTATTTATCCAATAGTTAACGTGAAAACATGCCATGTTTTCCCCTTCATTTTATTTTCTAGCTTTTGGAATTTTCAGCTGTCTATGAGGTGATTTGGGGAAATGAAAACCCTATATAAATATTAAGGTAGTGGTAACCTACAACAGAAATGGATTCTCCTTTGATATAAATGTCAGTCCTTGAGTACAGAGAAAGTGCTCATAAACATGGATATGTTTATGCTTGTTTATATAATTGTGCAAGCTGTTATTTTTCTTGGTTTTGATTTAAATCTAGGAAAATTTTCAGTTTGAATTGGACTTAATCTTATAAACCTGAAATCCGGTTTTCAATGCATTGTGAATAATTGTCTCCTTTTGACAGTGTTTTTTCACTTCTAGTTTTAGCCTCCAGCTCTGATAGGTCTATTAGTTATAAGACGTCCTAGGCTTCTTTAGGATAAAGACAATCAGGAAACAGGTTTTTATATTCAACTCTAAGTGTAGCCTGTTAGTTTGAAAGGGTGTTGGTCATCCATAGGGGAAGGATGAGTGGCTTCAGCATTTGGGTCAGTTTTTAAAGAAGCCCAGCTGTACCATATGATCAGGAACTAATGACCTCCAAGTTCCAGTCATTATTTCTACATTTAGTAGAAATTAGAGGACCATCAGCCAGGAAGTTTTTAGCCAGGAATTCCTAAGCTGAAAAGTTTAGACTAGATGTCTAAGGTCTGTTCCAATCTTGAGATTCTATATGTCTAGGGTCATTAGGCCACTGGACTGGAAAAGAAGATCTAAAAAAAAGAAAAAAAAATGCCTACAGCTTTGACTGACATAGCCCATAATTGTATTTGTGTAACTTCAAGCCCAATAAAATTTTATATTTAGGAAAATAGATGACTAATGCTTCATTTATATTATAGAATAGATTTTTAAGGCTATAGGAGATAAAGTTTAGCTTGGTGACAGGAGAGTCACTCAACTACTCTTATTTAATAGGAGGCATTTCAGAATTATAGTACAGTTTTTATATTACCATTATTGTTACACTTTTTTTCGTTTTCAAGGGATGGAGTCTTGTTATGTTGCTCAGGCTGGATTCGATGTCTCGAGCTCAAGGGCTTCTCCCACCTCAGCCTCCTGAGTAGCTGGGACTACAGGTGCATGCCATCATGCCTGGCTCATCATTATTATATTTTGAAATAATTTAACAAGTGAGCATTGCCTCATTGGAAATTAATATGCTACCTTTCTCGTAGAATGAAGAGTATTTCTTCAAGAAAATTAGTGCAATGAAATTGAATTGCTGCTGGAACCACCTTCTGAATTCTATTTCTACATGCTGCCTCTCTTATTCAGAAATTACTGTTTTAAATGGCCACAAGAGTTTTGTTTTACTATCACTAGATCGTTACCTGGAAATTCTCACCTGCAACAATCAATACTCTCAAACAAAACAGAAACTAGAAATTATTTTTTCATCATAGAGATCATTTTTAGTTTGTTTTCAGATGGGCATGGGAGATTTGTCTAAATAAGACCAATGACTTTTTGTTTTGTTTTTGGCTTTTTTAAAGACAGGGTCTCACTCTGTCGCCCAGGCTGGAGTGCATGGGGCAATCATGCTCACTGCAGCCGCAACCTCCTAGGCTCAGTCCTCCCACCCTAGTTTCTCAAGTAGCTAGGACTACAGGCATGCACCACTACAGCAGACTAATTTTTAATTTTTTTGTAGAGATGGAGGGGGTCTCAGTATGTTGACCAGGCTGGTCTCGAACTCCTGGGACAAGTAATATTCCCGCCTTGCCCTCCCAAAGCATTGGGATTACAGGCATGAGCCACCATGCCCAGTCACTGATATGTTTTCTGCCAGGTTTTGACTTGGGGGTGATGGCAAGCTTTCCTCTTTTTTTTTTTTTTTTTGAGACGGAGTCTTGCTTTGTCGCCCAGGCTGGAGTGCAGTGGCACAATCCTGGCTCGCTGCAGCCTATGCCTCCCAGGTTCACGCCATTCTCCTGCCTCAGCCTCCTCAGTAGCTGGGATTACAGGCGCCTGCCACCACGCCTGGCTAATTTTTTTTGTATTTTTTTAGTAGAGACGGGGTTTCACCGTGTTAGCCAGGATGGTCTCCATCCCCTGACCTCGTGATCTGCCTGCCTCAGCCTCCCGAAGTGCTGGGATTACAGGCGTGAGCCACTGTGCCCTGCCGGCAAGCTTTACTCTAAGGAGATAAAAAATTGAATGGATTTTAATTCTTTTGTTTTTATTTTCGTTTCTGAGATGGAGTCTTGCTCTGTTGCCCAGGCTGGAATGCAATGGTGTGATCTTGGCTCACTGCAACCTCTGCCTCCCAGGTTCAAGAGATTCTCCTGCCTTAGGCTCCTGAATAGCTGGGATTACAAGCATGTACCACCACACCCAGCTAAGTTTTTGTTTTTTTAGTAGAGAGGGGGTTTCACCATGTTGTCCAGGCTGGTCTTGAACTCCTGATCTCAAGTGATCCACCCCCCTCAGCCTCCCGAAGTGTTGGGATTACAGGCATGAGCCACCACACTCAGCCCGGATTTTAATTCTTTGTTTGATTTTGCTAACTAGAGCAGCAAGGACAGTCTACAGTCTTTGGTTCTAACTTCAAAACTGATTTTTTCTGATCAGTTTTATTAAGCCATATCTACTGAAACAAAAAGTATTCTTGTACCTCTCTAAGATGCAACGCTTTAGGATTGAAACTGACAATTCTCTGAGCTGCAAACATCAACTCTACTGAAATAATGCTGTGATTAGCCTAGCGGTTTGCTATCTTTTACTATGAACAGGAGAATATTCATTCCTAAAGGTGATCCCATCTGATGATTCCTGTGAAGAGCCGCAGTTCACACACACACTTCAGTGCATTGATCGAGAGATCAGGAATTCAACTTTTGCCACATCTGCCCTCAGGGATAGAAATAATGCATACCAAGTTTCTCTGTGAACATCTTTTTAAATTCTGTCTTCCTTCCCAGCTCAGACTTTCAGTACCCTTCATGACTTCATCCAGCAGTTCTCTATCCATTTTTCTGGGGGCACAAGTTATTACTTCCCCATCTCTCACCCATGGGACATGATGGGGTATGTGTGATTTAGTCTATTGTTTATTTAAGAAGAAAAAGAAGAAAAGAAAATTAAGCCATACATTTCAGTCCTGTACTTTAATTAGTAGTAACAAATTACTGGGCACATGCCTCACAACTTACTGCAAACTTGAGGTGCAGATACAGCCTGAACTCTGCTGCAGTTTTCAGAATGTCACACAACCCAACTTTAGCCCGCATCTCCAAACAGGCTTTCTACCATACCCAACCCACAGCATCTGGTATGACAGACTCCCGGTTTAGCTCACACCTAACTCCATTGCCTATTGCTACTTGCCCTTTGCCCATCCATCCAAAACCTTCAGGGTCCACTCTTAAATCTTCCACAGCATTTTCTCATGACAATAGTCTCCTTCCTTAGCTCTTTATAAAACATTATCTGTAACACACATTTGCTACTGACCCCCTATATAACCATGTGTTACCATGTAAATTTTTCTTTCTAGCTAGATTAGCAGAGGCAGAATTTACTCTCACATAAGGATCCTTTTTTCATTCAATGTCTTACTAACCATACTGCAAAGGAATACAATGAGTTTATTAAATTTCTTGGCCATGGCTTAAACCTAACAGAAGAAAAAAAAAAACTGAAAGGTTTATTGAATTTTGAATGGATGGGTGGATGTCAACATTTTCATCAGCTACTGAAAAAAAAAAAGGAATTCTAAGGAAACAAAGGGAATTGATAACCTGCCGATTTAAGTATTAAAGAGTCTTTTTAGATGTGCAGTTTTTTCGTTTTAACATTTTGAGAGTATTTTCTCCCCCAAAATCTTATGTCCAGTTGTAATACAAAAACGGAATGCACCAAGATTTTTTAAAAGGTGACAAGGGGGGAAAAAGATAAGTTTACAGATGTATACAAGGAATTTCTGTGTCCAATCTGCTTCTAAGAGGGGTATACTTTCCTGGAAAGGGATGTGCAGCCATGTTATTGAATCTCATGGACTAAATGTAACTCTACTTTGCTTATGGCCTACTTCAAGGATAGAAAAACTAAAAACTAGTTCTCACACCTTTTTTAAAAAAATAGATGAGGAGAACCTGTGATCTCTAAATTAGTATCTGGAGGGGGAAGCAAAAAGGTAAAGTGCTTACAACTCAAAGAAGCTTGGAAATCACACCTTAGTTGGTATCCTTGGTCATACACAACAGCTTGGAATAAGAATAAGGAACCTTTACCTTAGTTATGGCTTTGTCTTGCAATTGTAAAGCCACTTTTCATTTGTATCAATTACGGGCATATTTTCATGATTATTCACAAAATTGTTTGTCAGAATTTCTGGGCATATGGTTAATTTACTTACGAATAAAACCTCCTGGCCAGGTGTGGTGGCTTACATCTGTAATCCCAGCACTTTGGGAGGCTGAGGCAGGAGGATTGCTTCAGTCCAGGAGTTGGGGACCAGTCTGGCCAGCATACTGGGATCCCATTTCTGCAAAAAAATTAAAAGAATCAGGCGCACCTGTAGTGCCAGCTACCCAGGAGGCTGAAGTGGGAAGATCGCTTGAGCCCTGGAGGCTGAGGCTGCAGTGAGCCATGATCACACCACTACGCTCCAGCCTAGATGACAGAATGAGACCTTGGCTCAAAAAAAAAAAAAAAAAAAAAAAATCTGCGGAAAAATTTCCATTTTTTTTAACGTAAAAAAAATGCCTATATGAAGTCTTGCAGAATCCTTAAGAATGTGGCAGAATTAAGCCCTGGATAGGACTTCAAGAAACCTCAGGATCCCTCTCAAGAAAATCTTATTTTCTTATCAAATTATAACCACCATAGACATACATTAAATGTCATATTGGCAAAAAGTAGTGTTATTTCCTCTAGTCTCTGGGTCCCTACTTTATTTGTATCCCTAAAATCACTTTCAGAACCATAAGTTGTTTCCTGACTTGAGTCAGCAACTGAACTGCAAGAGGACTCTTAAAAGAGGAGGGGGGTGCACCAGTTGGCATTCTGTCTCAGCGTCAGACTCTTCACCTTAGAACATGAAAACTTTCTCTGCACTAGGTAGATAGGTATCAGCTGAACTGGGCGGTGCCCTTTTCATTTTTTCCCCTCACTGCTTTTTACTTTCCCATCTCCTTGTACCTCACATGTGTACAGTAGCCATAATGAAGGCCATGTAGATACGACATGAAAGAGCCAGGAGGGAGCTCAGGCCAGCTTCCCAAGCTATTCATTAGCAATTATCCTATGTTGAAATACTACCCACATAAACATTTCTTCATTAGCAAATAAACTAGTTTGACTCTTGGGGTATAGAAATCTTGACGTGAATGCTAACGAGACTCAAGCTAAGCACTGGTTTCAGTGAAATCCCACGAGTTTAAAAAAACATGTATTTCAATTTATGCATACTTTTTCAGAAATGTTAATGGGTAAAGCAAGAAATACCAATCATAAGTGAGAACTTGCTCAGCTACTCTGGTAAGAATCAAAAAAGCATGTCCTAGGAATGCTTTGGAACAAGATAGTATGATAGAGAAATTCAGATTTCTAAGGATAGATCCACTATTCATTTTTATTAATTATGGAATAATTTCCATTGTTCATCTTGATGACAGAAATAGAAGGGTAAAAAGGATAAATATAAGCTTGACAGAATTAAAGCACATCAGTATTTCATTTGGGTTGTCTTTATTTGGTTGGTCACCTGGTAATCATAACTCCTGAATCACCACACTGAAAAGTACTTATTAAGTACCTATAATTATGGGTTGTGCTATATGATGCACATTTAAAATTTATTAAACAAGAAGAGTCCATGCTATCTCAAAATGACTGATTATCTAATAATAAAACAGTATAGTGTTACCATTATACCCAAGTATGGAGGCCTGCCAGTATACAAAGTATTACCACAGAACCATTAGGAAAGCAATCTATCCACATTAAAAACTAAGTGGGCTAGTGGCAAACCATTATTCATCTTGAATATAATTGAACTTTACCGGAGAGATGCCAGAAAGGAAAGGCAATTTTAATTCATTTAAATTGTCCTGTTCATTAAAGAAAATCTTACCTTCTTCTAAGCAATATGGAAAACAAATAGTACATTCAACCATAAATGACAACTCAGTTAAAGAGGTAATTATTAATGCTTAGGCAACTTCCACTTATAGCAGATGCTTAGGTTTAATTCCAAACTAACCCCAAGGATTTGAATTTCACTACAGTAAAAGATTTCTGTGCATGCAATGAAAAACTTACTTTGATCACAGCACTCAAACCGATTCCCATTAACTACCTGTGACCCTGATATAGCTTATACAATTATTTTGTGTTTACCTACCTGCTTGACCACAGCCATGACAATGTTGGATAGTCTTGACCAGTGTAGCATGAAGCTGTGTGACTGTGAGTGACTATTGTCATCGGTTCCCTATTCTCTTTTCTGTCGAAGGAGGAAATTGGGCTCCACCTCTAAGGTTCCTTGCTTGCAATTATCAAGTTCTATGATTCTGTACTGACTGACTTCATTGCCTTAGCTGTTGAATTGCTTTGTAAAGAGAGCTCTTGTGGAAAAGTGAATGGCCCTTGCTGGGAAGTGAGCAGTGCATTAGGATTAATTCTCATTTTAGAAGTTAGGAAATTGGAGAAAAAATACATAGGGAAGATTTTTTGTTCTTTTCTTGGTTCTTGAGGCATTACTTTTCCCTTTATGGCTAGAATGATAGGATTGTATGAAGATATTCATTTAACTTGGTTTATGATTGCAAGTAATACAGTTAATACAACCATAATCAGAATCTCAATTATGTTGAATGGGTAAGATAAATAATGGTAATTTTAAGGAAATGTCTTCCATGGTATATGTATAATTAATTTCTGTTCTCAAAGAAGCAAAGAGGGTTTGGATGAAAGCTTCCCAGGCTCAGAAAATATGACAGTAGAAACATGAAGATGGGAAATTCTTCTTCATCTTTTCACAGTTACACAATGTTCTACACATTATGCAATGATTATGTAATTCAACAGGACAGCTTAAGGAATTTTTACAGCTTATAAGATAACACTTCAAGTACCCCTTTTTCTTCTGAAAGTTTACCACAAGAACAGGAAAATCTAGGGCTACTTTACCTCTAAGCCTGTTTATTTATGAAATAAAGATAATACTTTACCTGCACCATGAGGATTAAATGGTAAAGCTTTTTGGCATTATGTCTACCCATAGGAATCACTCTATAAATCATAATGTGATTATTGTCACTTATTACCTTTATAAATTAGAAAAAAAGTATATACTTTTTCAGATTACTATCACCTACATTAACTTGGTAGAACTTTATTTTTCTTTAGTCTTTGCTTATATGTGCATAAACAGAAACAGTGATTGTGACTCTTAAGTAATTTAATTCCATGCCCTTGTAATTTCCAGAGGAGAAATAAAGCAATATATAATTTATGGCCAAAAGTACTTTCTTCCTGAAATGTCCAATAGTTAAAGTTTCCACAAAATTGTTTCACTGAAGTATAGAAATAATCAATGTCTTTCTGGGGGAAGAAAATGTATCATAATATTTTTCTGAATATTTGACTCTTTAGTTATTAATGTATTACGGGGAAAGTACAACTTTCTGTTAGTGTTTGCTGCCTGTTTACTGTACACAGATGCCTGATTATTTTCCCCATCAGAAAATTTGATAGGACAAGACCACGTTCATTCAACAGATATTTATTAAGCACCTACTGTGTTCCAGGTCTTGTGGGCCCAAGAGAAGAGTCTGTAAACCTCAGTGAAAGTGATTTATTCAACATTTACTTATGGGTTGATTTCTGGAATCATTGCTTTATTTGGTGGTATTCACTAAGTAGGTCACTTGCATTCATTTACATAGGAAAGCTGCTTGTGTAAATAGCAAGGTCCCTTATGAGTCAGCATTACATGTCAGCATAAAGGGAGAAAACACGAAGCATTTTACAAATAATACTCTTTAGGTGAACACATTTTGCTTTTGATATTATGTTTTGTAACTTATTTCTCAACCCTTTCCTTATTGATCTAATTGAATAGGGAAGACCCATTTTAAGAGAAACATTGCTTTCTCAGGAAACATGCTCAACTGTTTTAAATTATTTATAAGGTTTCTGTTGCTTTCAGTCGAATCATAGTTCTATTATAGAAGTTTGTGGATTTTTGCTTTTGAATTTATCTTTTGGCATTATCAGTACTGTTGTCAGAGGCATTTGTACCAGAGTGACTTTATCTTGAATAGGGGCTAAGTAAAATGAGGCTGAGACCTACTGGGCTGCATTCCCAGGAGGTAAGGAATTCTTAGTCACAGGATGACATAGGAGGTTGGCACAAGATACGGGTCACAAAGACCCTGCTGATAAAACAGGATATAGTTAAGAAGCTGGCCAAAACCCACCCAAACCAAGATGGTAACACAAGTGACCTCTGATCATCCTCACTGCTTATTATATGCTAATTATAATGCATTAGCATGCTAAAAGACACTCCCACCAACACCATGACAGTTCACAAATGCCATGGTACAGTATACAGTCTAAAAAGGGAAGGAACCCTCAGTTCTGTTCCTGGGGAAATCCCCGCCCCTTTCCCCGGAGCACTCATGAATAATCTACCCCTCGTTTAGCATGTAATTAAAAAACCCATAAAAGTAGCCAGCCAGCAGTCCTCAGGGCTGCCTATGGAATAACCATTCTTTTATTCTTTTGCCTTTTGAGATGGAGTCTCAAAAATCTCAGCTCATTGCAACCTCTGCCTTCTGGTTTCAAGCAATTCTGCCTCAGCCTCCCAAGTAGCTAAGATTACAGGTGCCCACCACCATGCCTGGCTAAATTTTGTATTTTTAACAGAGAGGGAGTTTTACCATGTTGGCCAGTCTGGTCTCAAACTCCTGGCCTAAAGTGATCCACCCACCTCTGCCTCCCAAAGTGCTGGGATAACAGGTGTGAGCCACCACACCCACCCAAGATAAAATTTTAAATGGCTATCTTGTTCCAAGACACAACCTTGTCACCAAATAGTTCCAATAAAAACACTTCTTTTTAAAATTCATGTATGTATCTAAATTGGCTCAACAAACTCTAAAGAATAAAATTATTTCTCTCAGTGAAAAGACTACTTTTTGTACTTCAATGCTATGTTGTTGAAATTTCAGTCCTAGAGCCTACAAAGGAAATATATCTATCCTGACATGATACTTAATATGTTGGTTAAACTACTGGAAGACCTGATTTGTCAAGGGAGATTTCAACAGAACACTAGTTTGCCGTGTAGACTAGACTCCCTCTTCAGTGAAGCAGGAATATTCTCAAGAATATTTTTTCAGTGCTTACAAAGAGGAGAACTGGTACAAAATTTGGTGTTTCCTAATGACTAAAAATATCTTAAAGATTTTGTTTGCTTGTTTGCAGGAAGAAATCTTTCCTGTTTTCTGCTCTGTATGCTGCCTTTATATTCGGTGGTCGGCACCTAATGAATAAACGAGCAAAGTTTGAACTGAGGAAGCCATTAGTGCTCTGGTCTCTGACCCTTGCAGTCTTCAGGTAGGTTTTTTTCATTTTTCTAATAAAACGTATCCATTTTATCACTTGCTGAAAGAATGCAATGATTGAGCATTTGATTTTAAATCTGATATTTTTGATTATTGAATATGATGAGGACATAAAATAAAGTCATGTTCAGAAAGAAAGCCTTCACTGCCACCATTTGCCATGATGTATTCAACCTTATATATTTTGAGAGGTGTCAGGCCATCTCTTGTCCTGTCCAAATTGGTCATGCAGTAATCTGATTGATCTGTTAGGATGAGAAGCAGTACAGCAATTCATTATTGTTATTGGCTAAATATAGATGAAAGGTTAAATGGGAAGGCACACAAGTAACCTGTTGAAGTCTATTGGAGAACAGGGTTCAAATACCCTGGGTGTGCTGTTCCTAACACTTAATCAAAAGATGACACTTAGACATAGACCAGACACTGGACATCTGTGTCAGTATTGCTAGACCAGAGAATGCTTTTGCTCTGCATCTTCAAAAGCACCCTCCACCCTCATTCCCCGAACTGACTTGCAGACATGTGTTTATGTAGCCAGCTCTGGCTTTGTAAATGTGAAAGAACTCAACACAGAGACTGTCAGGACAAGGCCTGTTCTCTCAGGGCATCTGTCAGCTGGTGTGCAGACTCATTCCTCCAGAAGCTTTCAGGAGCATTTCCAGTCTTGTATTATTTTGTGATCTAGGCAATCACAAGACTAATTAGCACCCAGCTGGTGTCCAAGCAAGTGCCAGGATTTACCTAGAGTGCTAACAAAGGCACCTGTTCTATTTGTGTTTTGCTTGTCAAAACCAGCAAGTTCATAACTAGGCTTGGGGAGGAACGGGAGCGGAGTAAATGTAGATATACTATGAAACACAAAACTATTAATTTTCATATTTATAAATATTCATTTGTATTTTTTCATATATTAACTGTTCTAAGCAGAAATGGATGTTATCATTAAAGCTTCATTAGTTACTTAAAGCTTATTAAAAATGACTGAGGAAGAGTATTTCCATTAAACTCTTATGATCTGTGTTTTTCCATAATGTTGGATCCCTCCATCTAAAACACCCACTTACTCACCACTACTGAATATACTTTTTATTTCAGTGCAATTTCTAAAGCCCTAGGTTTGAAGTACTCATGATTTGGATCTGTCACTAAAATCTCCTTCCAGTTCAATCTGTATCAGATCATGATTCTCTATAATATAAAGAAGGCTTTTCATTTTTATTTACATTTAAGGTTGACAGAGTATGCCTCACCTGAAGTATTTTGATATTTGTGGGGAATTTATCTCTATCCTAATGAAGCCTTTCACCATTTTACTGATTTTTCAATATTCCCTGCACCTTTATCTTTTGTTATTTTAAATTTTAACACTTGTAAGCGGAGAAAAAAAGTACAATGACTCCCCTGCAACCCCTACCTTGGTTAAACAATTGTCAACACTTGGCTGATTTTACTTCGTTTAATCTTGCTCACCTTGTTTCTCATCCCCAAATTATTTGGAACTATTAATAATAGAGGCTGAAATAATTCTTATTGAAATCATACCATGGCTAAAGGTTAAGTACTCTTTAAAAGCAAACACAGTATTATGATCTCACCTAAATTAATAATTTGTTCTTATTAAATTTCAAATTTCTTCAGTTGTCTCATAAATGATTCCTGTTTTACAGTTTAAGAACCTAGATCAAAATGAGATCTTTACACTTCCATTAACTGATATCTTTTGGCTTATAGATTTCCTCTTTTTCCTTATGATTCATCCTTTGAAGAAACCAGATAGTTTACCCCATAGAGCTTCCTCTGGCCTGGATTTTGCTTGATTGCATTTTTCTGTACCTTCTATTTCTTATAAGTTGTAGTTAGATCTAGAAGGTTTATTACATTCAGGTGTAATATTTGAAGAGGCTTTCTATAAGAAGAAACTTGCCTTTATCAACTATTCGGTTATCTTGAAGTATATACAGTTATTATAGCAAAGATTAGGATAAATGCTTGATTCTTTGTCTATATTCATCAGGTTTTTTTTTTAAGTTAGTTAGCATGTAAACAATAAGATTTGTTTTCTTAAGAATCATTATAAACTTATGGATATGTACTTTTTCATATGCCAGTGATTTTGAGATATGATTTTGATGTGTTTTAAGTCCATTGCTATTCCTTTTGATGGTGATAGTTTGATTTTTTTTTCTTTAATTACAAGATACCAGGCCAGGCATGTTGTATATTTCTTGTCCAGAACTGGAATCAGCCATTTCTCCAAAGAGCCTGTATTAGTTCGTTTTCATGCTGCTGATAAAAGACATACCCGAAACTGGGAAGAAAAAGAGGTTTAATTGGACTTACAGTTCCACATGGCTGGGGAACCTCAGAATCATGGCGGGAGGTATAAGGCACTTCTTACATGGTAGAGGCAAGAGAAAAATGAGGAAGAAGCAAAAGTGGAAACCCCTGATAAGCCCATCAGATCTCATAAGACTTATTCACTATCATGAGAATAGCACGGGAAAGACCAGCCCCTATGATTCGATTACCGCCCCTCCCCACCCCCTACCCGCCCCCCGTCCCCCATCCCTCCCACAACACGTGGGAATTCTGGGAGATACAATTCAAGTTGAGATTTTGGTGGGGACCCAGCTGAACCATATCAGAGCCCTAATTCCTATGGTGGAGAGAAGATAATATTTAGAAACCACTGTCTGGGTACTAAAGGTGGTTGTTGGTGCTGAGTAAGTTCTTATATTTAAGTCTTTAAAAAAGCCAGAAGTGGAAATTTACTTATTGAGGTAAAATATACATATATAATCTATCATCTTTACTTTTTTTTTTTTGGAGACAAGATTTCACTCTGTCACCCAGGCTGGAATGCAGTGGCACAATCACGGCTCCCTACAGCCTCAACCTCTCCAGCCTCAAGTGATCCTACTAACTTAGCCTCCCATGTAGCTGGGACTATGGGCATGTACCACCACGGCCAGCTAGTTTCTATATTTGTTTTGGTAGAGATGGAGTTTCACTATGTTGCCCTAGCTAGTCACAAACAATCTTTACCATTCTTATGACTTAACTTTTATTTCTCCTTCCTCTCGGGTCAAAAATCCAAATTCCCAGTGTTGGCCAGTAACTCCCCATTTACTTTATCCTGCAATGCACATGCAGAAGTCAGTGGTGATACTTTATCTTTTTTAGACTGACAAATTATTGTGTTCTCTTTCATTTAAAATTCTGTTATTTTACTTTCTTCAGAGCCATGTTTTGTATAAAATTTAAAAATCCAGAACTATATAGAAAAATCCAAGCATCTGCAGTCTAAGGTTTTAAAAAGTGGATCTTAATTTTTTTAAGCCAGAATTTGGGAAACATTGATAATGGAATGCTATGCTTCTGTGTTTGGAAGAACATATTGAGATTTCTCTATGCTTAAAGAATGCTAGTCAACAATGCATGGAAGTAAAAAGGCTAACTACACAATGATACTTTTAATATAAAAATATTTATAGAGATACTAGAAGAAAATAAACTCAATTTTTTACTTTTTGGGGGGCAAAAGCAGAGAAGATGTCTTATTTATTAAATTCCTATGATTTATTAGAAAATAAGACCAGCCTGGGCAACATGACAAAACCCCATCTCTACAAAAAGTACAAAAATTAGCCAGGCATGGTGTCACGCACCTGTAGTCCCAGCTACCTGGGAGGCTGAGGTGGGAGGGTCACCTGAGCCAGGGGAGGCTGAGGCTGCATTGAGCCATTTTAGCACCACTGCACTCAAACCTGGGTAGCAGAGTGAGACCCTGTCTCAAAAAATAAATGAACGAATGAATAAATGGATAAATAAAAAATTTCAGCATTTGTACAGGTTGGTTGGTGTGGACTGGCAATTTAGAAGAAAAAAAATTTGTGATGTGTTATTCAGAACAAATGAAGCAAATATAATCATGTGGACAACTCTCAATTTTGCATATTGGCCATTTATTATTGTTTGTGTTTTTCTGCATTTAACACATTTCCTAAAATATACGTACACATGTTCATATCTAATCTCCTACACAATTCTGTAGAATTTCAAGTGAGTAGTTGCTTTTTTTTTTTGAAATCCAAATATTTCATGAATGAAGTTGATATAAAACATTCATCAAAAATATGCTCTTCTGGCCAGGCGTGGTGGCTCACACCTGTAATCCCAGCACTTTGGGAGGCTGAGGTGGGCAGATCACCTGAGGTCAGGAGTCCGAGACTAGCCTGGCCAACGTGGTGAAACTCTGTCTCTACTAAAATTACAAAAATTAGCCAGGCATGGTGGCACATGCCTGTAATCCTAGCTACTCGGGAGGCTGAGGCAGGATAATCGTTTGAACCCTGGAGGTGGAGGTTGCAGTGAGCTGAGATTGTGCCACTGCACTCCAGCCTGGACTACAGAGCAAGACTGTCTCAAAAACAAACAAACAAACAAAAAACTGCTTTTCACAAACAGTTGTTTTAATGAGTATTAAGAAATTTTCTATTTTGGTCATAAATGAAAACTTCATTATTATAAAGGATATATTTTTGTAGAAAGTTTTGAGTGGCTCTTACACTATAATTCATGCATTTTCAACTATTGTCTAATGACAAAAATATAGAAATTCTTTGCTCAGGAGATAGTTCCTCTATTAGATGGTCTGCAATGAGGTGATGGCCCAAGGGCCTATCGCCCACTCCATCTCCCCGTCCTTTGCCACCATAGCGTAATCAATTTAGAAAATGAAGGAAAGAGAAAGAACCAAACATTTCAGAAGAAGTAAATTTTTCTTTTGGAAAATCACCAAAAAGAGGAATTTTTGTGTATTTCACTGCTTAGGAATAATTTCTTTTCCCTCAAGTCCTCAAGGTTGCCTGTTAGCTCTTAACTGTAGCCAGGGACCCAGTTATGCTTAATTTCCAGATGCCATACACTGTTCACTCATGAACTGAGACAACATTATGGGAATTAAATCATATCTGCAGCATACTTAAAAAAAAACAAACAAAAGAAACCTCTTCAAACCAGTCTATTTCAAAAAGTGATGGGGTTTTAATATTGTTTGCAAGAATTGCCTGCAGTTTTTCTCTTTATTTTTGGGGGCTGACTGAAGCAGCCTTCATGGAGACAGAAGTCTTCATTCAGGTGGTAATTTATTGAAACCTATCATAAGCTTTGCTAGAGTAAACAAAATATGGCCAGTTGAGTTTTCCTTAGGCCTATAATGGATCATTTCATTTGAGGAAGATTTCTCTGGGTTTCCCTGAAAATCTCTCCCCACGATTCCTCCAGGCTCCCTTTTTCAGAACCAAATCACCAGGTCCTGGTGTCAATTAATCTTTATAAATATGGCCAGTATGATGGCATAGTGACCAACTTCCACCTACATCCCACCTAACCCAAGGACAGGCATTTCTGTATTTGATAAGATAATTTTATGTGGCATTTATCCATGGGTGTTTGAACATTTCCTTAGGGTAAATGCTGAGAACAATTCTGGTTATGTGAATCAGTAAGACTTTTAGATGAGATTGCTCCTGGTGGCAAAGAAGTTAGATTTGGCTAAGTTATCCAACTTTGATATGGCAACAGAGCATCAGATACTTCAAGGTGCCTATCCCCTGTTCTTCACAGACACTCCTGAGTCATTCAATCATGTTGCTATGACATGTCAGCTGGGTTACTACAGTTGATTTGAAAAAGTTTTCCATCCTTCTAGATTGGGTCCAGGTGTGTGTGCTTCTGATTCAAGGAGCCTCTACCAGTTACCTGTCTGGCAGTGTTTTCTTTTCATCAGCAGCATAAGGAGTTCCAAGAAGCCATCTTTGAGGTTCTTGACCTAACACAGATCAAAGCAGGATGTCTAGTTAGTGTACATTATAAAAAGATAATTTGGTGTTAAAAATTTATAGGTGCAAATATCACACTTGCTTCACCTTTGCTTACTCCTTTTCCTGGTGATTACTCTGGCCTCAATTGTTTTTGCTTGATTTGCACAAATCCAGATGTTCTACACTTTATAGTTTGACTTCTTGCCTATTAACCACCAGTTTTTCCTGTTGAACCTCATTGTAATTTCCTGGCTATATTTTCATTTTGTTATTAAATTTCTTCTCTGGCTTAAGTATGAAATATATTCAAGATTAGTAGAAAATTATTCTCTTTTTTTCTTTTGTGGGATTCTTATGAACAAAGTGCTTAAATATAGCACAGGAAACTTTCAGAAAAGTCTTAACAGTGCAAGCAGTAGATGAATGGTATTTAATCAAATCATTTGAGATCTGTTTCCCACTGATATCATAAACAAATTTAGTGTTTAATATCTGAAGAATTATTGGCAATTACCTTATTTCTAAAGCCAACAAGTATATAATAAAACTAACTGAAGCTGTTCAAGTGAAAAAAACATGACAGTTCTTAACCTATATGGAAGGAATGAGGACATGAATGACCTATAAAATGATGGTACAATGAAAATGACAAATTTTAGAACAATGAAATCAGTTTGTACATAAGACCGTCATAAGTGTCTTAGTTTTTTTCCTATGGTTGCCAAAATTGCCCATCTTAATCCACAAAAACAATGATGATGACAATGATTGTACTGATACTATTTATATAAAATAAATGGATCCATAAGCTTTAAGTGTCATAGGACAAAAGCTCCTACTTTATGAAAAACGCATTATAAATGTCAGATTTTTAAATGTAACACCAAAAGGGCAGAAGTAACAAGCAAAATTGGAAAGCATAATGCTGAGTAATAAAAAAGCAAGCTGGGAAATAATCCTGGAAGTGTAAAATCATTTATGAAAATTTTAAAAACTCGTTAATACTACATTTATGAATATATATGTAGTAAAAGTATTAAAATATGCACGAAAACCTCAGGATAGTAATTATCTCTGTTTAGGGGAAGGGAAGGAGAGAAATACGACCAGAGAGAGTCCAAAGGGGGCTTCAATTCCTTTTGTAACATTTCATTACATGTAGTAACATGTTACAACATGTTATTACAAAATGGTCAAACCAGGGAAAAATAGCTTTGATAAAAAGTATGGCTATAAAAAAGCAAAGTTGAATGCAATTAATGACATTTGGTTTGTTAAAAGAAAGAGCAACAATTGTAGCCATGATATAAGATTCAGGTCATACTGGTGGTGCATAAGTAAAGCAAGTTTATATCAAAACACAAATGTTGTACTTTATTGGTCCTCATTCTCTACCTATCCCACCCAATAATGATCGGTTTATAGTTAGAATGAAGAATAGCTTTTGTTTCCCCCTTTTTTTTGACGGTATCCCTCAGTTAAGTGTGTATATTTTGCTGGAAGGATGATTTGGGGGACTTTTCTTTTCTGTCCGTGTTCAACTCTTGAAGAATCTATCACGGTTAATGTTTCTAACTTGTAGACAGATACGATGCAGGTCAGATATTGTGCATTTAATTATTTGTTTTATCAAAACCTGTTTTTGTTTTATCTTTAGCCTACTCGAAAATGTAAAATGTCACATTTTCTATACCAATACTTCGTAACTCCCTTAGCCTCCTATTTTGGTGTCATTTTATCAAAGAACCATAGAAATTGCTGACTCCAATGCCTTGCTTCTAATGCCATATTTGTAAATTACAGCTTCTCCTATTCTTCTAAAAGTAAAATTAATGGATATATAGGAAATCCTTTTTTTTTTTTTCTGAAGGCAGAGTATAAGACAGTTTTCTTTGGAGAATCAGATTTTTCTTAAAACTAAATTGCTGGAGCAATTATGTTTTATAATAAACATAATAATATAATAATTTATTGAGACATAAAATAACTGAGACTAGGAATAACACACACCTAGATAACATCTCCAGCACACTGACTGTTTGAAAGGTCAGGTCACAAAATGACACCAAAACATATTTTGTTTCCCTCTGCACCAAGAGAAAAGTGAAGCACCCACACTGTATTATTATTTAAAAGCCCAACAAATGTTCAAGGCAAAAATCTTAATAAAATAGTAAAGTTAAAAAAGCCCATTGCCACAGGAAAAATAATCCTTCCATTTACTTAGCACTGCCGGAGTTGGCTTCTTTCCTTGATGAAGGACACCCTGCTAACATTTTTACAACTGGAGATAACAATGTCTAGTCTGAAAGGTAGTGGGGTAGAGGATTTCTTAAGCTTTTTTTTTTTTTTTTTGGAGATGGAGTCTCGCTCTGTCACCCAGGCTGAAGTACAGTGGCACGATCTTGGCTCACTGCAACCTCCACCTCCCTGATTCAAGCAATTCTCTGCCTCAGCCTCCTGAGTAGCTGGGATTACAGGCACCCGCCACCACGCTTGGCTAATTTTTGTATTTTTAGTAGAGGCAGGGTTTCGCCATCTTGGCCAGGCTGGTCTTGAACTCCTGACCTGGTGATCCATCCACCTCGGCCTCCCAAAGTGCTGAGATTACAGGGGTGAGCCACTGCGCCCAGCCATGTTAAGCATTTTGAGTTGTATTTGAATCCCTTTCAATCTGAGAGCTGCAGGATACCCCTGTTCAGTTATCCTGTTCAGTTTTGTTATTATCCTGTTCAGTTTTGTTATTAATACCAATTTTGTTGGTCTGTTAACCTATACACACATTCACATAACTGCCTAACAAATTGCAGCTATTTATTATATTAATATCAATTTTGTTATTCTGATGACCTATACATGCAGTAACATAACTACCTAACAAATTGCAGCTACAGGATAAAGAAAATTCTTTCTGTACCTGCACATGGTATATATACACACAAATCCCGTTACCCTTTATACACTCTTCTTCCTGCTCACCAGGAATTTTTTCTATCCCCCTGACATCAGAGACAGCTCAAGTAAAATACTGCTTCAACTGGGACCTGACATCAGAAATTCCAATGTCAACCCAGACTAGCTCAGATCCCCACCCACCCCCTTGAATAAAACCTCCATGCTTCATTAACCATGCCAGGAGCATCATGAGTAGGTAATAGTGGAGTTATATGACATAAGCTACTTCATTAACATTCTCTTTGTTTTCTAGATGTCTAAAACTGCATCCTTTGCCAGAGCTCAGTCTTTCCAGTCTCAAATCAAAATAAAGTGACCCTAACTGAATTCTTGACCCCTTTTGAGAAACCACGAGCTATAATAAAAATAAGAAATTGACAACTTTCTATCTTTTAAAAGTAAGATGGAATTTTTAACTGGGGTCCATGCAACTTGGTCTGCTCAGGACAGTCTTTAGTTTTATGCACGTTGTCTCAGTGTAATTATTAATAGCTCCTTCTTCACTCTCAAAAATGTCCCAATTTGGATGATAAATAAAACAGTTATTCTATTTATAACCCACTGAGAAATTGTGTTGGCTCAATAAAAAAGAAAAAGGAAGAACACCATGGATTATTTGACAATTAACTGCTAACAAATTCTTATTTTTAGGATTGACCTCTTGACTAAAACTTGCTCTGCCTGTCTGTGATATTTCCAAACGTTTGACACATCATCACTCAGATTTAAAATATCCAAACTGGTTCTCCTTTTGATATTCCTTTATTCATTGAAGTTTATCACAATTTTCCTAATGAACATCTTTAAGTCATTCTAAGTTATGTATGCAAATCTCCTTTACCCAGTCACCAAGTTGTATCAATTCTCAGAATCTCTTAGGTAGCTGACTACACCTGTTCCACCCTGGACCCTCCAATTATGGTCTTTGTCAGTTCACATCTTCAGTTTTGCAACCACTAGTTGCTGTCCTTCAAATGTTTCCTCTACCCAAGGATATTCTACATAGCATATTGTTTCCCTGTTTAAACCTTAATTAAAACTCTTTTGCTTATACATTAAAACCTCAATCTCACCATAAAAATGTACAATCTTGCCTTGACTCACCTTTTACCACTGCCCTATGCAAACTTTTCTATCCAAGCCAACATGGTATATCGAATCTTTTCCTGCAAAACAGACACACCTTGCCCATTCCTAATTTCATGCCTTTTTTTTTTTTTTTTTTAAAGACAGTTTCGCCCTTTCACCCAGGCTGGAATGCAGTGGTGCGATCTAGGCTCACTGCAACCTCTTTCTCCTGGGTTCAAGTGATTCTCATGCCTCAGCCTCCCAAATAGCTGGGATTACAGGCGTGTGCCACCACGCCCAGCTAATTTTTGTATTTTTAGTGGAGATGGGGTTTTGCCATGTTGGCCAGGCTGGTCTCGAACTGCTGACCTCAGGTGATCTGCCCACCTCAATCTCCCAAAGTGCTGGGATTACAGGTGTGAGCCACCACAGCCAGGCCTAATTTCATGTCTTTGAACACGCTGCACTTACTCTTTCTCCATTCTTCCTCTATTTGTTTTTCTGTAAATCTTAGTTATTGCTTAGACTTAACTTAAAATTCCTTCTCTATAATGGCTTATCTGATCATTTCAGCCCATATCTCAGCTCCACTGAACTTGCTGGTAGTTCATTTAACCAGACTATATATTGCCTTAACTGATGTACTTCTTGGTAGACTATGAATTTCTTGGGGCAAGAATTGTGTCTTGCTGTCCTTGGAACACCAAGTGCATACATAGTTGTTGAATTAATGAATACAAATCTCACACCTGCCAGTTTTGCAGTCATATGTGATTATCATTTCCAGTCACTTCACTTTTTCACTCTGTATTTCTTGCATCAACTGCCCTAGACATGCCCTAGTCCAGTCTTCATTGCATTCCGTCAGTCTTTACCTGTGAACATGCATACATGCATCAAGAAATCAAAGACTGATGTTATGTAGTGTCAGGAGCCTGCAATGGCCTACAAAGCCCTACACAGCCTGGCCCTTAGTTTTTGACCTCTTCTCTTCCCTCTCCTCAGCCACTCTTGCCTCCTTGCTGTTCCTCAAACATGGTCACAAGGCCTCTGCCTCAGGGCCCTTGTATTTGCTCTTCCCTTGCCCAGAACACTCCTCACCCAGGTATTCTTTTTTAATTATATATATGTATATATAATTATATATTATAATTACATATATTTTATATGTAATATATATTATGTTATATATATTATATATATATATATATATATATATATATATATATATATTTCTTTTTAAGTAAAATAGAAACAGAGTCTCACTGTGTTGTCCAGGCTGGTCTGAAACTACTGGGCTCAAGGATCCTCCTGCCTCAGTCTCCCAAAGTGCTGGGATTACAGGTGTGAGCCACTGCATCTGGCCCATCCAGATTTTTTTTTTTTTTTGAGATGGAGTTTAGCTCTATTGCCCAGGCTGGAGTGCAGTGGCACAATCTTGGCTCGCTGCAGCCTCCACCTCCTGGGTTCAAGCAATTCTCCTGCCTCAGCCTCCCAAGTAGCTGGAACTACAGACGCATGCCACCGCACCTGGCTAATTTTGTGTTTTTGGTAGAGACGGGCTTTTGCCATGTCGGCCAGGCTGGTCTCAAACTCCTGACCTCAGTAATCTGCCTGCCTTGGCTTCCCAAAATGCTGGGATTACAGACGTGAGCCACCATACCAGCCCCACCCAGATATTCTAATGGCTTGTTCCTCACCTCCTTTAGAATTTTGCTCACATTTGGCCTTGATGAGACCTTCCCTAGCCTCCATTATCCAAAATCACAATATTCCCATCCATGCTTGTAATTGCCTTTTCTTATTTTTCCCTTTAACGCCTGTCATATTCCAGCCCACTGTATGTATTACTTCTGTGGTTCATTATCTGTCTCGTCCCACTGCACTCTATGTTCCATGAGGGCAGTGATTTTTGTCTGTCTGATTTCCTGCTGTGTTTCTAGTGCCTAAGTAGGTGCTCTTTAAAAAAGTAATAAGGGAAATGAAGAGACTTACTAGCAACTGTCTACATTTATTTTCAAAGGTGGAAATAGGAAAATTTTCCAGCTTTTCTCTTGAATTCAAGAACTACCTGGAATTTCACCTATTTCCAAGAAAATAACAGTGAGTGATATATGCAAATATGACAAAGAACTGCAAGTTTATGTATAGGCAAAGGGTGGCTTCTCATTCTCACAGGAACTATGGTTGACTTGATAACCTTATATGACTTGAATTGCTTATGTACAATTAGAAAATCTGTCCAGTGGTCACTTTTTGATTAAGTAATTTTCCTTTCTATTTATAAAAGATAGGATTCTCTGCATCAAAACTGAAAACCACAAAATCACATACATAGACTTTTTATCCCAGTTCTCACAGATATTTACTGTTAATATTTTGGTGCCTCATAATTTAATGTTAAACTTGAGATTCTTTTATCATAATTTTAATTCTCTGTAATGCAGTTAATACATTTGAGTGTGGACAAAAATATGACTTCTGTAATATCTTTGCATTACAGGTGCTATAACAACTTGAAACAGCTGACATGTAAGATTCTTTAAATCGTTTTACCAAAATGGGATAGTATTTAAATAGCTGGAATACCATAGCTCTTTTGAAACTTGGTTGAAATATAAAATGAGCATTCTAGAAGAGATTGCGTGTTAGTTTAGGATGTAATATACTTAGATGTAAGTATAATAACACCTGCAGGCATTTGTTAAGGATTGTTTTGAATTAAGACATAGTTAGGGATTACAGTTTGTATAAACTTCATGTTATCTCATAAATCCTCCACAGATCCTTGTTTGGCAGGGTTTGGGATGTGTGCACGTGTGTGTGTGTGTGTGTACTACAAGATTTCGAACTAAAAATTGAATCCTTAAAAAATTCTTCAGACTTAAGGAATGAACTTTTAATGAAATTGCCTAATTGCATAATCTGGAATGCTTCAAATGATGCTGACGTCCATAAATAAAATACTGTAGCCACACTTATAGATTAGCTGAAGGAAACATTAAAGAGAATAACATGGAAAAATACTAGACTTTTCTTCTCTGGTCGTTCTCATTAGTGAGCAGAGAATTAACTGAAACATTGCGAGATGAGTATTCCTTCCCCTGATAGTCCACATGTCCTTAAAGTGTGGATATGAGTGGAGGATGGTAGAGAAGAGTGGTATTAGTGTTCATTAAAGAGAAATTGGTCACCCGCCGTATGGTTATATGCTGTTGTTAGAGCAATGAAAATCATTTTCCTACATATAAATGCTTTTCCCATATGAAACTTCTTACAGGCCTCTTATGACCTCGGCCTTGAAAGCATTGACAGTTCTTTCCTGAAAGCTGTCAATTTTTATTCTCCATGTTTTAATCAAAGCTCTAAATAGTAACTGTCATCTGTTTTTGATGATACTAGGGTATTGACAGATGTCCCAGATCTGACTTGATTTTGCATATGACATAGGGAGCTCTTGTTTCTTCCTTGAAACCGGCAACTCTTGTTAGCCAGAGCTACTAGTAAATGGACTAATTTCACTGGTTGCTAGCACTCCTTGAAACTCGTTTCCTAGCATGTGTTTCAAAAATTTGTTAAGTGAGAATTGGTGCTGACTGTTTGATCCCTTCTTGTTATCACTTATAACTAAATTGTTATGCTGGCTGGAGGCTGTGCAAGCAATCCTCACTGTATTCATTGTTATCCTAGATCATTCTTACAGTTTCCAGAGCCCTGGGATTTAGAATCAAATCTATGTAATTAAAATGATTGATTGATCCGGGGCATAATACTTCATTCCTTGCACATTGCAATTTCCTAACAACTTTATAAAGCAACGATTTTCTTTTGCTCCTTTCATTTGACTACTAATGGTACAATAGTAGACAGAGGGGTGGCTTTTTGTATTTTTTGTTCTGAGATGTGGATGAGCACCATTGACTTAGCAATGGATATGCGGGGTGATTAATGTAGCTGGTATTTGTGTTAACCCGGAACTGGAGCAGAAATTTTCAATGCAGTTTAATAGAATTGCTTATGAATTGAAGAAATTATGAATCATTAGTTATTCAGCATTCTCTTATGCAGGGGGCAGGGATGTGGTTTCTCTGAAGGCGTTCAGCTTTAAGTTGGAGTTTATGCTAGCTTAATGCAGATAGATAGGTAGGTAAAAAGCAAAGCAGGAAAAAGAAACTAACTTTCCAGGACAAGGGCACAGAGCTCAGGAGAGGATAGTGGAGAAGAAAATCTAATTTCTGCCTTTAAAAGGAATATAGTTAAAACTCTAGTACTTTTCCAGTTGTGAACAGACAGCCTACCTCTAGAGATTTCAGTTTAACTCCTCAAACTGATTTTTGCCACCTTATACATGTTTACTGAGACCAAACCCATCTTCCATCAACCTTGGAGTGAAGGAATCACTCTGGGGTGTGTTCTAATCTAATTGACACCTCTAGAATAGGTGTGTAATTTTCTGTTCTCCTTAAGGACATGGATCCTTAAATTGATAGAGTAGAACTAGGTTAAAGTTTGAAGTCATTAAAAGTAAAAGCAAACAAACATCTTCTGCCTCATGTATTTATTAAGTTGGCTATGTCTGTTTCTCTCCATTTGCCGAACCTGTGAATATTGTATTGATCCTCTTTCTGCCATACCTTTATAATACCTTCTGTATTTCTTCCTATGCATTCACACATAAGGTAAAATTACAAATAAAATTGAATCTGAATTTCTAAAGTATGAAAGTCAAACTCTCGGCCAGGAGTGGTGGCTCACGCCTGTAATCCTAGCACTTTGGGAGGCCGAGGCGGGTGGATCGCAAAGTCAGGAGATTGAGACCATCCTGGCCAACATGGCGAAACCCCATCTCTGCTAAAGATACAAAAATTAGCCGGGCATGGTGGTGCACACCTGTAATCCCAGCTACTTGGGAGGCTGAGGCAGGGGAATTGCTTGAACCCAGGTGGCGGAGGTTTCAGTGAGCTGAGATCATGCCACTGCACTCCAGCCTGGCGACAGAGCGAGACTCCGTCTCATGAAAAAAAAAAAAAAAAAAAAGAAAGTCAAACTTTCCTGTAAGTTCCTGGAAGGCCTACCTCTTGTGGCCCTAATGAGGAGGAGCCCTGTCACTCTTGTGTTCCTGCATGCCCAGGTCCAGCACCAAGTGTGAGTCACATCTCAAGTCAGTCAATGACTGGATTTCTTTACATATACAATGCTATTGAGGATGGCATAAATTGCATCTTTTAAGGGTTATGGTTGACAAAAATATGAATAGAGGGTGCCTACTTTTATTTCTGTGTTAATGTATAGAAGGTTTACATGTAGATAAATGGTAAATGATTAGTTATCAATCTTGCTGCTCAAAAGGAACCCACAGAAAAAAAGTCACCCTTCTCCATACACAGTCTAAACACCCACCTCAACACAAGATTTAGCTGTTTTATGAGGAATTAGTGAGAAAAAGATTTGAGAGAATTTTATGTTTCGGTATAATGCTAACACTAACAATAGACATCATTCATTGGTGCCTGGCACTGTATTAAGCTCTTAATATATTGTCTTATCTAACTTTCAAGACTGCCTTGAGGTATGTACTTTATTTTCATTTTACAAATGAGAAAACCTAGGCTCAGAGAGGTTTAAGAAACCTCAGAATAGAATCCCAGGAATAAACCCTAAAGCCTGCTGTGTAATACAAAGAAAATTGCTCCAACACAGTTATCTGCTGAAGAGGTATGTGCCCTCTGGATACCTAAGTAACTATTCTGCTCATCCTCTCCTTCCTCCTCTTTCTTTTCCTTCCCCACCTCCATCATCACCATTGTGGCTGTGATTATGCAGCCCTGAGGTCTTTCCGTTGGAGCACTGCCTCTCTTAAATAGGTGACTTGCTATCTTGAGGCAACAATGAGCTGCTTTGACAAGAAGAAAAGTTGGCCCATCTACCCATAAGCTCTCATTGGGCAAGGATCTCATATATTTCATAGACAATGTTAGCCAACTAGTGTCCTGATCTTCTGCCTGCATCTCAAAAATAGCATGCTATCTCTTAGGAGTGAATTTCAATTATCAGGAAATCCAGAAGTTTGACATTGTTCCACATTTTCTGAAACTGCCCATGGAAATCAATTCCAGGCTTATAAGCTGTCTGTATGTACAGTCATCCCTCAGTATACATAGGGGATTGGGTCTAGAACCACCCAGGATACTAAAATTTGCACAGACTCAAGCCTGCAGTCAGCCCTGAGGAACCTACATATATGAAAAGTCAGCCCTTTGTATTGGTGGGTTTCACATCCTAGGAATACCATGTTTGGTTGAACAAAATTTGAGTACAAGTGGGCCCGAGTGGTTCAAACCTATGTTGTTTGAAGGCCAACTGTAGTTATATTAAGCTGAATGCACGTTTTTATACACTACCGTCTCCACACTTGTTCATGAAGAGAAGACAGAGCTTCTATTTCATTATTAATTTTGCCTATTTAAGCATTTTATCCTAAAATAAATGTATGCTCATCACTTGAAATAGCTGTCGGAGTAACATTTGCTGGAAAGAGAAAGAAAGTAAATAACACAAAGTTAAAAAGACATGGGTAGATCTGATTTTTGGAGGACCAAGAAATTTGTTGCAAAAGATCTAGCTCACTTCTAGTCCCTACAATGAAACACGAGTGCAGTAGTTTCCCTTACCCACGATTTTACTTTCTGTGGTTTCAGTTACCGGTGGTAACTGTAATGGAAAATTCCAGAAACAAACAATTTATACAGTTTTAAGTTGTGCACCATTCTGACTAGCATGATGAAATACTGCATCACACCACTCCGTCCCTCTCAGGACATGAATCCTTCCTTTATCAAGCAGATTCACACCTGTGAGTCACTTAGTAGCCCTGTTGGTGATCAGACTGTCTTTGTGTCACAGTGCTTGTGTTCAAGTGACTCTTATTTTACTTAATATGACCTGCAAGTGCAATAGTGATGCTGGCTACTTGGATATGCCAAAGAGAAGCCAGAAAGTGCTTTAAGAGAAAAGGTGAAAGGTTTCAACTTAGTAAGGAAAAAAATACTATATGTTAAGGTTGCCAAGATCTATGGTGAAAACAAATCTTCTATACATGAAATTTTCGAGAAGGAAACAGAAATCCATGCTAGTTTTGCTGTTGCACCTCCAGCTGCAAGACTTACGGCCACAGTGCTTATTAAAATGGAAAAGCCATTAAATCTGTGGGTGGAAGACATGAACAGAAATGTGTCCCAATTGGTGGGTTTCAGGCATCCTCCAGGGGTCTTGGAATGTGTCCCCGTTGGGTAAGAGGAGTGTACTGTATGCCCAAGGAATTCCTCATGTTTTCACTTGGGGTTATCTGCACCCAGCCCTTTGATAGAATTAGTGTTTATTCTCATTTTCACTCCCGGAAAATGTATAAGCTACAATACTCTAATTAGCGCTCTGTGCTTGGCTTTGGTGAGAACACACTCTGTGTGTGCACAGTTCACCAAAACCTTTGGGAATGACTGAAGGGCCTGGAAGTTTCCAAACTGAGGGTCAAGGTCACCTTGGCTTTGCTATCCATTATTTCTTGTTTCTTTTACAGGAAAAATCCTTTGATGTTCTATAAATTCTAAATACATTTGCAATTTAAAACACTCTTCAAAAATGTAGTAAAACCACGTATTTGTAACCTTCACGAAGGCCGGAATCTGAAAAAAGAAAAGACAGAGCCAAATTGACTCTAATTGTTAAGGACAAAATGAACCATCTTTTGACTAGACAAAGCTACCAGAAATCTCTTTGATTGGAAGTATTTTGTGCTGAAAACCAACTAGAAAATAGGAGGTTTTTTTTTTTTTTACAATTTTATTTTAGGTAACAGGAGCTATTTAAAAAAAATTACTCCTTCATTCCACCAGAAGTTTTAAATGTTTCTTGATCTAAAAATGTAGATGTGGTTTAAGTAATTGTATGAACAAGGTAAGGGCCAGTGTCTCTACTGTGACATTAATGACAGGTGCAAACTAAAAAACTCATTCCAGTATTTTTGCAGAATGAGGAGTGGTGTCAGAGACAGCTGGGCTTGGAAACCTTCTGGAAGTCTTTTATTGTTTCCTGTATTGGATCAAGTCCAAAAGTGAGAATAATTACCCTTTAGAGCTGCCAAGTTTTCAGGCAATTCAGATGACTCTAGTCTTGTAGTAGGAAAAAAATGTGAGTCAGGGTACAAGAATAGTGATTGAATTTTATAAAAAGTATTTCTAAAGCAGTAATTTCCTCAGAAGTGACTTGTTAGCTTTGACTAATCGAATGCAAAGTAGAGAAGCGTCTGATCAAAATTACAGAAAATGAGAAAGAAAATTAGACTCATCTACTTCTAGACGGCCTAATAATACAGAGTTGAGGGTTTCAATCAGGCTCCCTTGGTGACTTTTAGGTAATTCATCAAATCCTTGTGGGGGCGGTGTCTGAGGAGGCTGTGAAAAAGAGAGACAGGAAGAACCTCTCAATATTGAATAGGAAATTTATATTGTTCTAAAAACTTCATATCTCCCAAATTTGTAAGAACACCCTGGTTTAAAATAAACAGGCTCCCCCTCTTGAGAATAGAGAAACAGTGACAGGTGTTTCCCTAAATTTCCAAACCTAACAACCCATTTAGACAGCCTATATCAGGTGCTTTACTCATCCTCACAACAGACCTGCAAAGGAAATACTATTATAGGACGGTCACATTCAAGGATAAGATCCTTGAATATTTCAAAATAATCAAATAACTCAGAACTTTCCTAATTCCGGATCAGTTTTCCCATAGGAATAAATGTCGCATAGGGAGGTATTTTCAGAACCTATAAATCTATATCTAATGTTGTGTTTTAAAACAATTTTAAACACAATGAATGGATACATACTAACTTTTTGTCGTGTCTAACTTTTGTTTCTTCTCTCAAAAGTTCTTGGCTCTAACAATTTTTTCATTTTTACCACTAACACTACCACTTAATGAACCCCTGGGAAGCATGGTCATAATTAACCAATAGTGGTCATTAAAATAACAGCACAGGAGTCATCAAAATCACACTTAGGAACTTCTGAGGGAGAGTGGTTTAGAAGCTAATGACCAAAAATATTTCTATTTCCTACTAACACACTACTCTCATGTGGCAATATTATAAATGTACGAAACAAGTTGGAACACTAGCTTTGAAACTGTGATTTCTGAGTATAATTTAGATGTAAGAGATTCACATGCCTTCAAATTTAACATATAAAGTACATCCTCCTTAATATT
Source organism: Homo sapiens (assembly GCF_000001405.40). Lineage (NCBI taxonomy): Eukaryota > Metazoa > Chordata > Mammalia > Primates > Hominidae > Homo > Homo sapiens. Next base: position 110,086,372 of record NC_000004.12, on the reverse strand, counting down.
GTATATAGTGGTATTTCCAAATGTCATGATTCAGATGCACATAAAATGCAACCACATCCCTATTTTGGGATGAAAGAAGTGATGCTTGGGTGATTAAGAAATTTACCTATGGGCACATACCTGGTTCCAGAATCAGGATTAATTGGTCTGACTTAAAATGCCATGCTGCTTACATAACTGAGACAGGTCAAAAAGTTAAAGAGGACTAAATCCAGAAAGACTTCATTAGTGGCTTCGATTAGATAGGAATATGATTTTATGAGCATCTGAGGGAGGGAAACACTTTGCTGTAGAGTTTCTCAAACTGTGACCTGTGGGTCATTTGCATCAAGACATCTGGAATGTTTGTTAAAAATCTCCATTTCTGGTTTCTTCCCCAAAGCTATAAAATTAGAGCCAGTAATCTCAGCACTCTTGGGATTACTTTGGGAGGCCAAGGTGGGTGGATCGCAACATGGCGAAACCCCATCTCTACAAAAAGTACAAAATATTTAGCTGGGCATGGTGGAGCATGCCTGTAGTCCCAGCTACTCAGGAGGCTGAGGTGGGAGAATTCACTTGAAACTGGAAGGTTGAGGCTGCAGTGAGCCAAGATCACACCACTGCACTCCAGACAAAGTGAGGTCCTGTTTCCAAAAAAAGTAGAGCCTCTGGTGGTGAAGTTTGGAAATCTGCATTTTTAACAATCTCCATGTTTTACTGTAATTAAAGTTTCAATATAGTATTAGGAGGCTTATATGCCCCTTTAGATACCACCCAATGCCCCCTCACCAGAGTCCAGGGACTCTTACAGTAACTGTCCCCATTGAACAACTAAAGGCTTTTGGGACGTGTTCAGTAGATGAGAAGTTCAATACATGCTGTGTTTCTCCAGACAGGTATCACACTGTGATTCTGGTCAACTATGGCACACTTACTCTTTACTCATGCATTTCTTAATTGTGCCTCTGACCTTTCACCAGCTATTTTTTCCAGCACTGTGGACTATTAACTGGATGCTTGCACCTGAGATAGCAGTGTTCTGGTAACCTCTCACTTGAGGAAGTTGTTATCTCAGTTGGCTTCCTGTTTGGCCTCATGCCATCCATGCAGAGCCATGAGAGGCAAAGCAGCCCAGAAGCAGCCTCTCATCCCTCTCCTGTGACTTCCTAGGAGAAGAATATTCCAGTGGTTATGATTTCCCCTCCCCACATCCCTCCAACGCATGCACATACATTGCCTAACCTCTTGCTTTCATATCAGTTTGCATTTTCTTTCTTTGATGTCCCATCTTAAACTCAACATGGTCTGAAAGGAGTTTTATAAAAATGTTCTTAGCCAGCCCTGCCAACACTCTACCACAACTTAATCAATACACAAATAAGTGAATAATTAAATCAATTTCTTTCCTTCTCATTGTCTAGTGTCATTATCCACCCTGTTGCTCAGGCCAATAGCCTTAGTCTTCTTTTCTTCCTTGCTATTAATATATCACAGCATACGCCGGGCACGGTGGCTCACACCTGTAATCCCAGCACTTTGGGAAGCCAAGATGGGCAGAACATGAGGTCAAGAGTTCGAGACCAGCGTGACCAACATGGTGAAACCCCATCTCTACTAAACACACAAAAATTAGCCAGGTGTGGTGGCACGCACCTGTAGCCCCAGCTACTCAGGAGGCTGAGGCAGGAAAATTGCTTGAACTCGGGAGGTGGAGGTTGCAGTGAGCCGAGATCACGCCACTGTACTCCAGTCTGGGCGACAGAGCAAGACTCCATCTCAAAAAAAAAAAAAAAAAAAAAAAATATATATATATATATATATATATATCTGTGTGTGTGTGTGTGTGTGTGTGTGTGTGTAAGTGTATATAATGTATACACATATATGATATATATGTGTATACATTATAGTGTATATTGTTATATATCATATATGATATATGCGATATATCATATATGATATATGTGATATATCATGTATGTCATATATCATATATCATATATGCGATATATATCATATATCATATATGCGGTATATATCATATATCATATATGTGATATATATCAAATTTATATATGTTATATGTTATATATCATATATAAGTTATATATGTTATATATCACATATAAGCTATATGTTATATATATCATATATGTTATATATATCATATAAGTTATATGTTATATATATCATATAAGTTATATGTTATATATATCATATATATCACATATATGTTATATATATCATATATATCATTATCACATATATGTTATATATATCATATATATCATATATATGTTATATATCATATATAGCATATATATGTTATATATCATATATAGCATGTGTTATATACCATATATGGCATATGTTATATACCATATATGGCATATGTTATATATCGTATATGGCATATGTTATATCATATATATCATATATAACATGTTATATATATCTCTATATATATTATCTCTCTCTCTATGTGTATATATATATTATCTATATATATCACAGCATCCATCACAGCATCTCAGGGAGTCTAAGCAGCTATACTGCCAAAATAGATCCTATGTTTGTCTGCTTCTCTTATGCCCATTGTTACCACATACTAACCACCACCATCATCATCTTTGGAAATGCGGGACACAATATATTTTTAAGTGCCTGACTACTTTTATAATAATATGAATATTTTAACATTTATATTAATGTAGTAATTACTACAGTCCTTTCACCACACAGCAGCCTGTATTATTAAAAATACAAATCATGTCATTACCTGCTTAAAACCTACCAATGCTTGTACAGTGCAGTTAGAATAAAATGAATTGTATAATTATTACTATCTCTGTGTCAGGATCCTCAAAGGCCCTATAAGCTGTAGTCCATGCCCACCTGTTAAACCATGTCTCTCTTTAGTCCCCATCACCGCCAGCCTCTGGGCTCGTACCAAGCGTGCCCAGCTGATTAGTGCTTAGTGATTTATCCCTCTACCTGGTATGTTCTTCTCTAGGTCTTGGCCAGCCTGGCCCCTTTTCATTGATCAGTTATCAGATCACATGTCCCCGCTTCTGAGAGGACTTCTTTCATGTCAGAAGACGACCTTCTTGCCCTCATCCCTAGTCCATTATCACTTTACCTGGTTTTGTTATCCTGTGGCACTTACTACCTGAAATTAGTAAGCTATTTTTAATGTATTCATCAGTCTCCCTCACTAGAATATGGGTTTTGTGAAAATTGATTTGTCTTTTTCTTAATCACTTGATATGAAGAACCTAGTATGTAGTCGGCATAGAAAAAGTTTGCTTTTTTTTTAAGTGAATAAACCCAGAGAGAAACAACCTAATTAAATCAGAATTCCCTAAAAGGATACCTGTGTTCTCTTGTTTTGCTCATGTTGGGCACTAGATTCTTGTCTCCATCTTCAGTTAACATTCACTAGTTCTGATACTTACAAGTAATAATGTCTTAATTTGAGATTTCTATGGAGCTGTTAAAAGCGTTTGTGGATAATTGTTGAGTCCATATTCTCTAATGAAAACACACATGGCCTATCATACACAGTCATGCGTCCCTTGACAGGGATGCGCTGTGAGAAAAGCACCCTGAGAAGTATGTTGCTAGGTGATTTTTTATTTATTTTTTTATTATACTTTGAGTTTTAGGGTACATGTGCACAATGTGCAGGTTTGTTACATATGTATACATGTGCCATGTTGGTGTGCTGCACCCATTAACTCATCATTTAACATTAGGTATATCTCCTAATGCTACCCCTCCTCCCTACCCCCACCCCACAACAGGCCCTGGTGTGTGATGTTCCCCTTCCTGTGTCCATGTGTTCTCATTGTTCAATTCCCACCTATGAGTGAGAACATGTGGTGTTTGGTTTTTTGTCCTTGCGATAGTTTGCTGAGAATGATGGTTTCCAGCTTCATCCATGTCCCTACAAAGGACATGAACTCATCATTTTTTATGGCTGCATAGTATTCCATGGTGTATATGTGCCACATTTTCTTAATCCAGTCTATCATTGTTGGACATTTGGGTTGGTTCCAAGTCTTTGCTATTGTGAATAGTGCCGCAATAAACATATGTGTGCATGTGTCTGTATAGTAGCATGATTTATAATCCTTTGGGTATATACCCAGTAATGGGATAGCTGGGTCAAATGGTATTTCTAGTTCTAGATCCCTGAGGAATCGCCACACTGACTTCCACGATGGTTGAACTAGTTTACAGTCCCACCAACAGTGTAAAAGTGTTCCTATTTCTCCACATCCTCTCCAGCACCTGTTGCTTCCTGACTTTTTAATGATTGCCATTCTAACTGGTGTGAGACGGTATCTCATTGTGGTTTTGATTTGCATTTCTCTGATGGCCAGTGATGATGAGCATTTTTTCATGTGTCTTTTGGCTGCATAAATGTCTTCTTTTCAGAAGTGTCTGTTCATATCCTTCACCCACTTTTTGATGGGGCTGTTTGTTTTTTTCTTGTAAATTTGTTTGAGTTCTTTGTAGATTCTGGGTATTAACCCTTTGTCAGATGAGTAGATTGCAAAAATTTTCTCCCATTTTGTAGGTTGCCTGTTCACTCTGATGGTAGTTTCTTTTGCTGTGCAGAAGCTCTTTAGTTTAATTAGATCCCATTTGTCAATTTTGGCTTTTGTTGCCCTTGCTTTTAGTGTTTCAGACATGAAGTCCTTGCCCATGCCTATGTCCTGAATGGTATTGCCTAGGTTTTCTTCTATGGTTTTTATGGTTTTAGGTCTAACATTTAAGTCTTTAATCCATCTTGAATTAATTTTTGTATAAGGTGTAAGGAAGGGATCCAGTTTCAGCTTTATACATATGACTAGCCAGTTTTCCCAGCACCATTTATTAAATAGGGAATCCTTTCCCCATTTCTTGTTTTTGTCAGGTTTGTCAAATATCAGATGGTTGTAGATATGTGGCATTATTTCTGAGGGCTCCATTCTGTTCCATTGGTCTATATCTCTGTTTTGGTACCAGTACCATGCTGTTTTGGTTTCTGTAGCCTTGTAGTATAGTTTGAAGTTAGGTAGTGTGATGCCTCCAGCTTTGTTCTTTTGGCTTAGGATTGACTTGGCAATGCAGGCTCTTTTTTGGTTCCATATGAACTTTAAAGTGGTTTTTTCCAATTCTGTGAAGAAAATCATTGGTAGCTTGATGGGGATGGCATTGAATTTATAAATTACCTTGGGCAGTATGGCCATTTTCACGATATTGATTCTTCCTACCCATGAGCATGGAATGTTCTTCCATTTGTCTGTATCCTCTTTTATTTCATTGAGCAGTGGTTTGTAGTTCTCCTTGAAGAGGTCCTTCACATCCCTTGTAAGTTGGATTCCTAGGTATTTTATCCTCTTTGAAGCAATTGTGAATGGGAGTTCACTCATGATTTGGCTCTCTGTTAGTCTGTTGTTGGTGTATAAGAATGCCTGTGATTTTTGCACATTGATTTTGTATCCTGAGACTTTGCTGAAGTTGCCTATCAGCTTAAGGAGATTTTGGGCTGAGATGATGGGGTTTTCTAGATATACAATCATGTCATCTGCAAACAGGGACAATTTGACTTCCTCTTTTCCTAATTGAATACCCTTTATTTCCTTCTCCTGCCTGATTACCCTGGCCAGAACTTCCAACACTATGTTGAATAGGAGTGGTGAGAGAGGGCATCCCTGTCTTGTGCCAGTTTTCAAAGGGAATGCTTACAGTTTTTGCCCATTCAGTATGATATTGGCTGTGGGTTTGTCACGGATAGCTGTTATTATTCTGAGATACATCCCATCAATACCTAATCTATTGAGAGTTTTTAGCATGAAGCGCTGTTGAATTTTGTCAAAGGCCTTTTCTGCATCTATTGAGATAATCATGTGGTTTTTGTCATTGGTTTTGTTTATAGCCTGGATTACGTTTACTGATTTGCGTATGCTGAACCAGCCTTGCATCCCAGGGATGAAGCCCACTTGATCATGGTGTTTAAGCTTTTTGATGCGCTGCTGGATTTGGTTTGCCAGTATTTTATTGAGGATTTTTGCATCAATGTTCATCAGGGATATTGGTCTAAAATTCTCTTTTTTTGTTTTGTTTCTGCCAGGCTTTGGTATCAGGATGATGCTGGCCTCATAAAATGAGTTAGGAAGGATTCCCTCTCTTTCTATTGATTGTAATAGTTTCAGAAGCAATGGTACCAGCTCCTCCTTGTACCTCTGGTAGAATTCGGCTGTGAATCCATCTGGTCCTGGACTTTTTTTGGTTGGTAAGCTATTAATTATTGCCTCAATTTCAGAGCCTATTTTTGGTCTATTCAGAGATTCAACTTCCTCCTGGTTTAGTCTTGGGAGGGTGTATGTGTCGAGGAATTTATCCATTTCTTCTAGATTTTCTAGTTTATTTGTGTGGAGGTGTTTATAGCATTCTCTGATGGTAGTTTGTATTTCTGTGGGATCGGTGGTGATATCCCCTTTATCATTTTTTATTGCATCTATTTGATTCTTCTCTCTTTTCTTCTTTATTAGTCTTGCTAGTGGTCGGTCAATTTTGTTGATCTTTTCAAAAAACCAGCTCCTGGATTCATTGATTTTTTTTGAAGGGTTTTTTGTGTCTCTGTTTCCTTCAGTTCTGCTCTGATCTTAGTTATTTCTTGCCTTCTGCTAGTTTTTGACTGTGTTTGCTCTTGCTTCTCTAGTTCTTTTAATTGTGATGTTAGGGTGTCAATTAGATCTTTTCTGCTTTCTCTTGTGGGCATTTAGTGCTGTAAATTTCCCTCTACACACTGCTTTGAATATGTCCCAGAGATTCTGGTATGTTCTGTCTTTGTTCTCGTTGGTTTCAAAGAACATCTTTATTTCTGCTTTCATTTCGTTATGTACCCAGTAGTCATTCAGGAGCAGGTTGTTCAGTTTTCATGTAGTTGAGCGGTTTTGAGTGAGTTTCTTAATCCTGAGTTCTAGTTTGATTGCACCGTGGTCTGAGAGACAGTTTGTTATAATTTCTGTTCTTTTCCATTTGCTGAGGAGAGCTTTACTTCCAACTATGCAGTCAATTTTGTAATGGGTGTGGTGTGGTGCTGAAAAGAATGTATATTCTGTTGATTTGGGGTGGAGAATTCTGTAGATGTCTATTAGGTCCACTTGGTGCAGAGCCGAGTTCAATTCCTGGATATCCTTGTTAACTTTCTGTCTTGTTGATCTGTCTAATGTTGACAGTAGGGTGTTAAAGTCTCCCATTATTATTGTGTGGGAGTCTAAGTCTCTTTGTAGGTCTCTAAGGACTTGCTTTATGAATCTGGGTGCTCCTGTATTGAGTGCATATATATTTAGGATAGTTATCTCTTCTTGTTGAATTGATCCCTTTACCATTATGTAATGGCCTTCTTTGTCTCTTTTGATCTTTGTTGGCTTAAAGTCTGTTTTATCAGAGACTAGGATTGCAACCTCTGCCTTTTTTTGTTTTCCATTTGCTTGGTAGATCTTCCTCCATCCCTTTATTTTGAGCCTATGTGTGTCTCTGCACATGAGATGGGTTTCCTGAATATAGCACACTGATGGGTCTTGACTCCTTATCCAATTTGCCAGTCTGTGTCTTTAATTTGGAGCATTTAGCCCATTTACATTTAAGGTTAATATGGTTATGTGTGAATTTGATCTTGTCATTATGATGTTAGCTGGTTATTTTGCTCATTAGTTGATGCAGTTTCTTCCTAGCCTCAATGGTCTTTACAATTTGGCATGTTTTTGCAGTGGCTGGTACTGGTTGTTCCTTTCCATGTTTAGTGCTTCCTTCAGGAGCTCTTTTAGGGCAGGCCTGATGGTGACAAAATCTCTCAGCATTTGCTTGTCTGTAAAGTATTTTATTTCTCCTTCACTTATGAAGCTTAGTTTGGCTGGATATGAAATTCTGGGTTGAAAATTCTTTTCTTTAAGAATGTTGAATATTGGCCCCCACTCTCTTCTGGCTTGTAGAGTTTCTGCCAAGAGGTCAGCTGTTAGTCTCATGGGCTTCCCTTCGTGGATAACCCAACCTTTCTCTCTGGCTGCCCTTAACATTTTTTCCTTCATGTCAACTTTGGTGAATCTGACAATTATGTGTCTTGGAGTTGCTCTTCTTGAGGAGTATCTTTGTGGCGTTCTCTGTATTTCCTGAATATGAATGTTGTCCTGCCTTGCTAGATTTGGGAAGTTCTCCTGGATAATATCCTGCAGAGTGTTTTCCAACTTGGTTCCATTCTCCCTGTCACTTTCAGGTACACCAATCAGATGTAGATTTGGTCTTTTCACATAGTCCCGTATTTCTTGGAGGCTTTGTTCATTTCTTTTTATTCTTTTTTCTCTAAAGTTCTCTTCTTGCTTTATTTCATCCATTTGATCTTCTATCTCTGATACCGTTTCTTCCAGTTGATCAAATTGGCTACTGAGGCTTGTGCATTCATCACGTAGTTCTCATGCCTTGGTTTTCAGCTCCATCAGGTCCTTTAAGGACTTCTCTGCATTAGTTATTCTAGTTAGCCTTTCGTCTAATTTTTTTTCAAGGTTTTTAACTTCTTTGCCATGGGTTCGAACTTCCTCCTTTAGCTCGGAGTAGTTTGATCGTCTGAAGCCTTCTTATCTCAACTCGTCAAAGTCATTGTCCGTCCAGCTTTGTTCCATTGCTGGTGAGGAGTTGCGTTCCTTTGGGGGAGGAGAGGTGCTCTGATTTTTAGAGTTTCCAGTTTTTCTGCTCTGTTTTTTCCCCGTCTTTGTGGTTTTATCTACCTTTGGTCTTTGACGATGGTGACATACAGATGGAGTTTTGGTGTGGATGTCCTTTCTGTTTGTTAGTTTTCCTTCTAACAGTCAGGACCCACAGCTGCAGGTCTGTTGGAGTTTGCTGGAGGTCCACTCCAGACCCTGTTTGCCTGGGTATCAGCAGTGGAGGCTGCAGAACAGCGGATATTGGTGACCAGCAAATATTGCTGCCTGATCATTCCTCTGGAAGTTTTATCTCAGAGGAGCACCCGGCTGTGTGAGGTGTCAGTCTGTCCCTACTGGGGGGTGCCTCCTAGTTAGGCTACTCGGGGGTCAGGGACCCACTTGAGGAGACAGTCTGTCCATTCTCAGATCTCCAGCTGCGTGCTGGGAGAACCACTACTCTCTTCAAAGCTGTCAGACAGGGACATTTAAGTCTGCAGAGGATTCTGCTGCCTTTTGTTTGGCTATGCCCTGCCCCCAGAGGTGGAGTCTACAGAGGCAGGCAGGCCTCCTTGAGCTGCGGTTGGCTCCACCCAGTTCGAGCTTCCTGGCTGGCTGCTTTGTTTACCTACTCAAGCCTCAGCAATGGCAGGCGCCCCTCTCCCAGCCTCGCTGCGGCCTTGCAGTTTGATCTCAGACTGCTGTGCTAGCAATGAGCGAGGCTCTGTGGGCGTAGGACCCTCCGAGCCAGTCACGGGATATAATCTCCTAGTGTGCCGTTTGCTAAGACCATTGGAAAAGCACAGTATTAGGGTGGGAGTGACCCGATTTTCCAGGTGCTGTCTGTCACCCCTTTCTTTGACTAGGAAAGGGAGTTCCCTGACCCCTTGAGCTTCCTGGGTGAGGTTATGCCTCGCCCTGCTTCGGCTCACACTCGGTGCGCTGCACCCACTGTCTTGCACCCACTTTCCAACACTCCCCAGTGAGATGAACCCGGTTCCTCAGTTGGAAATGCAGAAATCACCCATCTTCTGCATTGCTCACACTGGGAGCTGTAGACTGGAGCTGTTCTTATTTGACCTTCTTGGCTCCACCTCGCTAGGTGACTTTATCCTTGTGTACTTCCACAAACCTAGAGGGTATATATTTTTATTTACATATTTTTTTCATATGGAAAAGCAAGTGTCCTAGGACCATTACTGAATATGAATCATTTCTCCTACTTGATCTGCACTGCCAAAAGCAAGTGCCACAAAGCAGTTTTCTCTGTGTGTTCTATTATTATATAGGACCACCATTGTATATGTGATTTGTGCTTGACTAAAACATCACCATGGAATGTATAACTGTACAGTTATATACAGTAAATTGTAGAGAATAGTTCTGGTTTCAGCTGCACCGTCTCATGCTTCATATAATTTTGTCTGAAGAACACTTGCACTAATGTTTATCTCTTTTCTTCAGCACTTATCACTAATACTTTTATTTTTACCTATAAAAAGATTCAATTTATAGATTCAAGTACTGAGTCATTATCAAGCAATTTCTTCACATCTGTCTGTCAGGATGCTAGCTGTGACTGTGTGAAAATGGAGTTCGGTTTTTCTCATCAGCTTGCTATTACCCACTGTGTGCCATAATACTACAATGCAACATCACTATGCCTATTCAAGTTTTGGTCAAATTGTTTCAGGGTATCAACTCTTCATTGTTGGAAACTTTGATGTGTTTCAGGAAGTTATTTTAGCATTTTCATCAAAAGCACATGTCACCTACATTTGGACTTTTTTTTGTCCCAACATTTTACAAGTCATTAACTTGAAAATCCATTTAATTGGTATATGGAAGTGATTCTTTAAGGAATAGGAGTTTAGAGTTAGAGACATTTAAGGCCATCTTCCAGGGATCTTTTTGTGCTGCTGTGGTGGTGGTGGTGAAAAATGGATAACAAGATTTATCCTCTTAACCATTTTATGTGTATAGTTCAGTAGTGTTACATATATTCATTGTTGTGCAACCAATTTTTAGAACTTTTTCATCTTATAAAACTGAAACTGTACCCATTAAGTGAAAACTCCTCATTTCTGCCTCCCCCTAACCCAACAACCACCATTCTAGTTTCTGTATCTATGAATTTGACTGCTTTAGATACCTCATAAGCAGAATCATACAGTATTTGTCTTTTTGTGACTGGCTTATGTCACTTAGCATAATGTCCTCCAGGTTCTTCCACTTTGTAGTATATGTCATAATCTTCTTTTCAAGGCTTAGTAATATTTCATTGTATATATACCACATTTTTTTTATCCATTCATCCATTGATACATTTAGGTTGCTTTCATCTGTTGCCAATTGTGAATAATGCTGCTGTTTTGAGCATGTGTGTACAAGGAACTCCTCTAAATCCTTTTTCTAATTCTTTTGAATACACACCCAGAAGTGAAATTGCTGAATCATGTGGCAATTCTATTTCTTTTTAAGAAACTGCCATACTGTTTTCAATAGCCATAGAGCCATTTTATATTCCCTCCAACAGTGCACATGGGTTCCAATTTTTCCACATCCTAACAGTAATTATTTTTCATTTTTTTGATAGTAGCCATCCTAATGACTGTGACGTGATACCTCATTATTTTCATTTTCTAATGATCAGTGAGGTTGAGCATCTTTTCATATGCTTTTGATTCATTATTTGTGTATTATCTCTGGAGTAACATCTATTTACCTTTGTTGCTCATTTTTTAATAGAGTTATTTGTTATTAAGTTGTAATTGTTCTTTACATATTCTGGATCACAGTTCCAGCTCCAGGAGATGAAGGAACAGGGCACACTTGAGGATGCAATGGAGTGCCAAGGCCAGTTACGGGAAGGAGAGCCAGCGCAGGGCTTACCCACTTCCTTGATGCCTCTGCTCAAGTGTCGTCATATTATTGAGTTCTTCCTGCCTATAAGTTTTAAAAAATGTTTATTATGTAATAAAACAGCACACTGTACTCCCACCCAGCACTCCACACACTCCTTATCACCATCTGGCGTACTATAATATATATTTCCTGACATACTATCTATTGCCCTCATTTAAGATATAAGCTCCAACAAATGTGATTCCTATCAGAGTTTACTGCTATGTCCCCAGTACCTAATGTCTTATCCACATCATTTCTAAAGTTCTCCAGGTCTTAAAATTTCAGGTCCCTCCTTCCTTACCTGAAATAATGCCTGGCACATATAAAATGTTCAGGAAATATTGCTTGAATAAATAATTAAAATCTCATGACCCTCCCCTGGCTGAAATTACAGTCAGCCCTCCATATCTATAGGTTCTGCATCTGCAGATTCAACCAAGCTTGGTTTGGAGGAAAAAAAATAAAGACAACAATACAAATTACTTTAAAATACTGTATAACAACTATTTACATTGCATGTACATTGTGTTATTATAAGTAATCCTGGAGATGTTTTAAAGTATATGGGAAGATGGACACAGGTTATGTGCAAATACCAAGCCATTTCATATCAGAGACTTGAGCATCCTCAGATTTTGGTATCCTGGGGAGTTCCTGGGACAAGTCTCCCTGATATTGAGGAATTACTATATTTAGAACCTGGGCTGTCTGCAATTCTGTTGGTTGAAAATTTATGTAATACCCCAGGAAGGACAAAGGAGTTTCAGCCATTCCCTGCTCCCATTGCATTTGTCTTCTCCTAATATCTAATTGAGGAATTATGGGATTTTGTTTTGCAGAGAAGGAGGAGACAAATCTGTATTTTGTAACCTAAAGTTTGGAAGGGCCATGGACTATGGGAAAAGAATAGAACAAGAATAAGGAATAAGCCAGAAAGTGAGAGAGATAAACCAATTATCTTCCAGCGGTGGTCTTTTTATTTCCCCTCTCACACTTCAGATGGAAACCGGCTTTTCCTTCAGAAGACAGGAAAGCCCTAAAGCATCAAGGGCTCCATCCTCTCTGCTGGACTGGCTGTGAGGTCAGGGGCAGCGGTGGAAGGAATTTTCCTTGTTCCTCAATGCTTACATTTCATAGTGAAGGGAGAAAAATACGTTCTCCTTGGAGGAAATGTAGAGACTTCCTGGGGAGTTCAGCTATGAGGCCATTAGGAAAATTCAGTAGTCTGGGAATCTGTGAAGCAAGAAATACCACAGACTTTTTGAAACCTTTATTATGAAACCCTGCTTAATAATCATAAATGTCATAGCTCACAAATACCCACTGAGTTTGCGTTATTCATTGGTGCTTAAGGGCCCAAGGTTATTCCACAGGCACAACCCACTTTCAGACTTTTTCCCCAAAGACACTTAAGATAATTTGTGAGAACACACTTAATGATATTTTATGTTTTTCCTACCCTGAGGTTAAAAAAAAAAATGCCTCTGTGAAAAGAGTGAGCTCTGCTCCTGGGACAGTACTGGTAGAATGCCAAGCCAGGCAGCAGTCCAGTGTGTGCCCGCTATCAGCCCTATGAGCTTGGCGGCACGTGTGGTATGGAGATGATAAAGGTATACATAGATTTCTCATTTTGAAAATTACCAGAATTGTATCATTACATTCTAGCAGATTGACCTTAAAAAAATTGTAAGGATGAAATGCACGGAAATCAGTAGAATAGGTACGAGAGTTTAAGCATGTTCCTAACTCTTCCAGATTCACAAACCACAGAGTTAATTTTTCTTCTTAAATCAGTTGTATACACATATATAAAAATTAGCTTATCTGTGTATGATTCTCATTTTCAAAATCATTTCGTGATTAAATTGGGGCCAGGACTTCTTGTTGCCTTATTTCACAGGACTCTGGAAGGCTTTGATTAGGGCTTTGAAGTACAATAGGGTGACAACTTTCAGGCTGCCTTTGAGGAACAGGAAGTTCCTGAAATGGAGATGAGAGGACCCCAGAGAAGGCCATTTGGAGATTCTCAAATGTCTGAGCAACCATGCCAGCATCTTGGAGACTTCAAGAGCTGCTGAACTGGCCACAGGTCAGAGATAAAAGTGCTCCCAGGGTTTTTCACTGGGATTTCTCTTGAAGAAGCAGATGAACTCGGCAACATAGTCACTGCCAACTGTTGCCAGTGTGGCACATTTGGAGGGTGGCCCATCTGGGCACCATGTATAAGACCTTGCAACTAAAGAGCCTACTAGTGAGTTTCACCTGGCAGATAAATTCCCATGATTTCTAGAAATACTAGTACAAAGGATTTTTTTTGAGACGGAGTCTCTCTCTGTCACCAGGCTGGAGTACATTGGTGCGATCTTGGCTCACTGCAACCTCTGACTCCCTAGTTCAAGCTATTCTCCTGCCTCAGCCTCCCAAGTACCTGGGATTACAGGCATGTGCCACCATACCCAGCTAATTTTTGTATTTTTAGTAGAGACAGCGTTTCGCCGTGTTGGCCAGGATGGTCTCGATCTCTTGACCTCATGATCCACACGCCTCGGCCTCCCAAAGTGCTGGGATTACAGGTGTGAGCCACTGCGCCTGGCCAAAGGATTTTTACAGGTGCCACTTAATTTTTTTATTTAAAGCTGGCAGACTCAATGTTCTGAGAGTGTGCTGGTCAGCTGCTAGGAGTTAGGTGCTCCAGCAAGTTGACGGCTGTCAGTCAACAGGCTTCAGCTGATATCTGTCTCACTGATCTCACGCTGGTGGATTGATTTCATTTGTGAACTACTGTATTTCTCATACAAAGGATCCAGGTGAGGAGGAGGCTGGCTCCGCCCTTCTCACGTTATGAAGTTATCAGCCAAAGAGTTCACCAGATATTGCAGGCCCTGAAATCTTTTGGAAAATCCTCCTGAAACTTCCCTGGAGGTCTGTATATCCCTGTATTTAAAATATATTTATCAACGAAAGATGTGATTTAGAAAGGAGTATCTTTTCATACCATCTCTTTTCAGTGGTGGTATTTGAGCAATCTTTTAAAACACAAAACCCCTTGCTCCAGTGCTCTGGAGTGGTGCTTAGACGCCTGGCATCCTTCTGAGCAGGCAGTGGATCTTGGCCAAGTTCCGGGAGGGAGCGGTGGAGGAAACTGTGGAGGGAAGGCTGGGCGGGAGAGGGGGAGCCAGCCATGGAGGAATCCCCCCTGCTGGTTCTGAAACTGAAGCTTTGTCCCCCTGCCTGAAAAGAAGGTGATTTGCCCTCACTGTAGTGGCATATCGTGACCAGACACTTCACAGTTCACACTTTCAAATGACCTAAGTTCCAGAGCATACACATACTTGCTCCAGTAAAAATAACTAAACATGGAAAGAAAAAAACAAAGCTCTTTTCAGTGAGGAGTAAGGTATAGCACAGGGCCTATCACCTGAGTGCTTACAAGTATGTGTGAAATGACTTCATTACATTTACCTTCTTTGGTATGCTTTGTGCTAATAATAATTCAGTTACTGTGGACAACTATGAACATCTTTGGAAAAAAGAACAATGTGATCTTTAAAAGATTGTAAAGATGGAATGGATCTTTAGGTTAATGAACCCAAAGGAAGGAACTGGGCATATGGAAGAGCCGGAGCTTATGACTCTGCTACCTCCCTTCCTTGCAGTTCACAGTTTAGAGCTGGAATCATAAGGAGTATTTCCAGTCCCCTCATTTTAAGGATGTGGAATACTGAGGGTCAAAATGACTTTTTTCCCTCCCTGGTTTTTAGTTAGTTGGGTTGGGGGAAGACTCTATACAGATAATGTTATATATCATGGTTCAAGTGCTCTCCCAATGAAATTTGCATTAATTATCTTTATTCGTCCCTTCTTACATTGCTACAAAGAGCTACCTGAGGCTGATTAATTTATAAAAAAAAAGAGGTTTAATTGACTCAACAGTTCCGCAGGCTGTACAGGAAGCATGGCTGGGGAGGCCTCAGGAAACTTACAATCATGGTGGAGGCGACTGGGGAAGCAGGCATATCTTACTGGCCGAAGAAAGAGGAAGAGAGCCAAGGGTGAGGTGCTACACACTTTAAACAACCAGATCTCGTGAGGACTCACTCACTATCACAAGAACGGCAAGGGGGAAGTCCACCCCTCCAATCACCTCCCAGCAGGCCCCTCCTCCAACACTGGGGATTACAGTTCAACGTGAGATTTTTTCCCCCAGGAAAAATGTTTGGTTTCCTCATGAGAACGTGAAACCTACCTAGGACTGTGAGATGGAGTTAATGGAGCACTGCTATTATCGTTGCACTGGAATTGTCACTGTCCTAATAATTTGATAATGCCCTGAAAGAGATTAATAGTTTTCTCAAAGGAACAAAGTTTTCTGTAGAAACAAGATGACTAACCACTTTTGTGATCCTGGTGAGTTTTTTGGCTTCAACATTAATCTTTACTGTGAATACATGTATTCCAGTTTCTTTTTGGTTCATATAAGCATCATTTTAATTTTCTGCTCTGCTTAATTGAGGTCACTATTGGTAGAACTTTGTTCTTTGTTCCTATTAGAAAAGTCCAGAAACCAGCACACTGTTCTTTCCATTTGTAGTTGAAATCAGTATTCATTTGGCATGGCTGAGCCTCCACAGGAATGCGTTGTGGCATCTCTTCCATAGTTGAGTGAAGAAGAAAAGGCAAGGGAAGAAAGCATACCCACCAGTAATTAATTTTGTAGAATTTAGTACACCTCTTTAGGTTTAAAATTCCAGGAGAAGGGTTCTCATCTAGGACACCAGGGATGTACAGAAAGGCACCGTTCTTTATCAGCTGCCTAAGCAGTGTCATCCCCAGGCTCATGGAGTGGGGTTGTAGAGGGAGAACAGGCCAGAAGGCATCTTGCACGGTGGGGTCTCCAAAGGTGTCCCTAATCCACAGCTGGGGAGCTAGGACCCACAGGGGCTCCCAAGTCAAGATTCTGAGCCAGTTGTTATGAGATGACTCCTAGGTGTTAGAATTGCCTTAGTGCTTCCAGGTGATTGTCATTTCCAGCCAGGCAGAGAAACACTATCCTAAATGAAAGCCCAGTGAGTTTTCAGGATCAGCTATCAGGTAAAAGGCACTGAGCTGTAGACAGAAGATTCTGCTACTTAGTAACTGTGAGACCTTGGGCCAGTCCTCTGCCCTCTCTGTGCCTGTTTCTTTGTCTATAAAACAGGGATAATGGTGCCCCATGAGGTGTAGGGAGAATCAAATTCCATAATCTAGGGGCTCAATCAAGTTCTGTAAATGTGAAATACCATGGCAGCATCCAGTGCAGTGCTCGCACAGAGTCAAGTACTGGTCAGCCAGCATTGAAGCCTTGCATTGTTTAGTCTGGGAGATGGGCTGGAGCAAGCAGTAACTGCCTTTCTCTCTGGCCTTGATGGGGTCGAGGCTATTAGTAGTGCCAAGGAGATGAAGTCTTTATATCTCAAAGAAAAAAAAAAAGGTAGCTTAAGTGACATAAATCCTGCTTGTTTTTACAAAATAGTGTGTGATATCTTCATCAGAATCTCAAAATGTTATAAATTCTATAACCAGGTGTTCTGTTTCTTTTGGGAAATGCTAGTTGACATCCATTATGGTACCAAGTGTCCCTATTATTATTATTATTATTATTATTATTATTATTATTATTTGGAGACAGAGTCTTGCTCTGTCACCCAGGCTGGAGTGCAGTGGCGCAATCTTGGCTCTCTGCAACCTCTGCCTCCCAGGTTCCAGCCTCAGCCTCCTGAGTAGCTGGGACTACAGGCGCTGCCACCACGCCCAGCTAATTTTTGTGTTTTTAGTAGAGACAGGTTTCGCCATGTTAGCCAAGCCAGTCTCAAACTCCTGAGCTTAGGCAATCCTCCTGCCTGGGTCTTCCAAAGTGTTGGGATTACAGGCGTGAGCCATGGACCCCAGCCTATTACTTATAATCTCTCCACCCCTCCTCACGCCTCACTCTGCCAGGTGGTTTTTATCAGGTTAGTTTCTAAAACTTGGCCCCCCACATTTCTTTGCTGTGCCAGGTAACTGGAGCAAGTGTGCTCTTTTCCAGTTGCACACTCCAGATGCAAGGATAGTGCTGAGCAGTATCCAACATGTCAGACCTCTGAAAAGCAAGGGAGTTATTATCTAAGAAACGTTCAGACCCTTAAAGCCATCTTTTTTATGTTTAAAAAGCTTAGGTTTACAAGTTAAGACAATAAGCGGGTACTTCTGAAAGTGAATCGAAGCCAACTGATCCTATCAAACATTTAATCAGAACATCTGTTTGCGATGAAGTTTTCTGACTTATCAGGGGGATTGGTGGTGAGTTGAGACAGCAGCCGTAGAGTGCACTCTCATCTCATGTTTATCGGGGGATCATATTGTCCACGAAGATAGCTTCTCTGTGCTCCAAGACTTTCCTCACTTACTGTTTCTTCCATGAAGTCTTCAGCACAGACAGGCTTCGCACTGCAACATGTAGCATTTTCTCAGTCTAGGAGTTCAAGATTATCATCATATGATACTATTAGTCATTTTTAGGTACCATTTTAGATACAGAATGCTGTGGAAGTTACTTCGTGCCTGAAGGCCTAAATGTTATTTCTCCAAAAAGGCCTTATCTCTGTCCTCTGTCTTCCTTATCCTAGTCTAAATTAAGTTTAGCTTTTATGTCTAATACTTTTCTTTCTTATGTATTTTAGTTTTAATTTATTTATTACTGTCCTTTTTTCAGTTATTGATTGTCTGATTCCCCACTAGACTAAAAGCTCCAGCTAGCATGTCAGATCTCAGAGGAGAGCTCTGTGAAAGGCGTTAATGTCTAAGTAACATTCAGACTTTTAAGGTATCATTTTTTTAAATTAAAAAAACACAAGGATTATTTGACACCAGATATCAACTTAAAATATGTGAAAGACATAAATATTAGAAATGAGGATTTAAAGTTGGTTTTCTAATAGCTTCTGAAAGAAAGTGGTATGTTGATTAATGAAATTCTAACATGGTAATAATCACATAGACGCATAACCTTTAAAAAAATGTACACAAATTGGATCATACCATAGATATTGTCCTGCTCCTTATGTTTTTCACTTAATCGTGCATCTTGATGTTCTTTTATGTCAGCACCTGATGCAGAGATCGTTGGTACATTTCATGGCTGTATTGTGTTCATTGTAATTTATTTACCGATTTTCATGTCAGAGGACATTTCTTGGCACTTCTCCTTTCTGCTACCGTGTGAAGAAGGACATGTTTGCTTCTTCTTCCACCGTGATTGTAAGTCTCCTGAGGCTTCCCCAGCCCTGTGGAACTGCAAGTCAATAAAAACTCTTTCCTTTACAAATTACCCAGTCTCAGGCAGTTTTTTATGGCAGTGTGAGAACGGACTAATGCATGTTCCAACAGTGGAATTACTAGGTCAAAATATGTGTATTTTTTATTATGATAATGTGATATGTAATTTTTGCCTCAGGTTTCTTGATCCACAAGGTGTTGGGGAGATTTTCAGATTTTCTAATGGAGGTATCTGATTTAAGATTTCAAGCAAGATAAATGACTCAAACCTAGAAATGATCACAGAGTAATCAAAGGAAAAGTGAAGTTATACACTCTGAAGTGTTAAGTAGTAGAGGAAGAAAACTATCAGAAAAATTACAACCTATGCCCCGATTTAACTGCTTAGACATTTATTAGACAAAAAAAGAAAATCTACACTTTGGCTTATTATATTATTGAAAAATACATTTTTAGCTAAGGCTAACCACTAGACCAATTAAAGTAGACATTGTCTATTAAAGATGCCTGTTCTCAATGAGAACACATGGACGCAGGGAGGGAAACATCACACACTGTGGCCTGGCAGGGGGTGGGGGGCAATGGGGAGGGAGAGCATTAGGACAAATACCTAATGTGTGCAGGGCTTAAAACCTAGATGATGCGTTGATGGGTGCAGCAAACCACCATGGCACATGTATACCTATGTAGCAAACCTGCACGTTCTGCACATGTATCCCAGAACTTAAATAAAATAAAAATAAAGATGCTTGTTCTCAAGTGTGGAAAGGGTTTAGAGTTTGAGGTGCATGTTGTTTGTAGAGACATGATATTGACATGGAGATGCCATAATTCTTTTTTTTTTTTTTTTTTTTTTTTTTGTTGAGACAGAGTCTCTGTCGCCCAGGCTGGAGTGCAGTGGTGCAATCTCGGCTTACTGCAGGCTCCCCCTCCTGCGTTCACGTGATTCTCCTGTCTCAGCCTCCCGAGTAGCTGGGACCACAGGCGCCTGTCACCACGCCCGGCTAATTTTTTTTTGTATTTTTAGTAGAGACGGGGTTTCACCGTGTTAGCCAGGATGATCTCGATCTCCTGACCTCGTGATCCGCCCATCTCGGCCTCCCAAAGTGCTGGGATTACAGGCATGAGCCACCGTGCCTGGCCTGAGATGCCATAATTCTGCATCACAGGCACTGTAATCCTATATCATCCCCCAAATCTAGAGGCATTACAGTGGGTTTGAGATTAATTTGTTTTAACCTGTTCTGGCATCACTGGATATTCTTCCTACTCTGGAAACTGTCAGAGTCTAAGACCAACAGCAGTTCAGGTTTTGTTATCAGGAAAATCAGTGACCTCTCCTATGTTAATAAAGAGTTGCTGCTGTTGGATCACCTGTTGCTGTTTTTTGACAACTCCTTTCCCACTCCCACCCCCCTTTGATTGTAGGATAGAAGTATGATAAAACATTTTAATTGCCTAATACTGGGAAAGTAATTGTACCTTTGGTTATTGAGTTAGTAGGGTGGAGATTGGTTGGTGGTTAGCATTTCAGAATTAAAAGATCCTTGAGAAACTATGGTTTGATTCCAAAAAAACTTACATTTAAGACGAAGATCAATAAGGGAACAATGTAAAAATTTTTTTTTAAATCAACTATTGATGTTCATGTGAAAATAAAGTATTGATGATTTATACCCAAGGCTCTTTTTCCCCCCAGGGCAGAATTCTGGAATTCTTAACATTACTGAGCTATTCCATTTTGACTTACAGATGGAAATAAAAGTGGAAGGTTAAAATATAGAGTTATTCAGTCTTTTTCCAAGTAGGTAAATGGTCAGACGTCATGGTCAAAGCCTAGGAAGTTTTGTTGTTGTTGCTGTTGTTGTCGTTTTGAGAAAGGGTCTCACTCTGTCACCCAGGCTGGAGTGCAGTGGCACAATTATGGCTTATTGCAGGCTCGACATCCTGCACTCAAGCGATCCTTTCACCTCAGCCTCCCAAATAGCTGGGACTACAGGTGTGCACCACTTTGCCCAGCTAATTTTCGCATTTGTAGAAATGGGGTTTTACCATATTGCCCAGGCTGGCTTCAAACTGTTGGGCTTAAGTGAGCCACCCACTTCAGCCTTCCAAAGTGCTAGGATTACAGCCATGAGCCATTGTGCCCAGCCCAGCCCAAAGCCTGGTTTTAAAGAAGATTAGCTATATCTCTTATACATCTTTAAAAAGGACCCCAATACATACACCTACACAAGAAAAAATAAAACCTGAAAACAAGAACTTGCTTTCTAAACTTTTATTCTAAAAATTCCAACATCTGTTTATGTAAATATCCAAAGGAAACTCCCAACCATATACACATACATACCCTTCAGCTCTTCAGTGCCACTGTTTCTATTGTTTTTGTTATACATATATATTTATTTTCATGTTTGTTGTCTCCTGCAATAGGCTGTAGAAACTGCCCCCTCCCCAACCTCCCTCATGAGTACTGTAATATCTGACACTTGGTGTGTGTTAAGTACGTGTTGATTTAATACATGAAACAGTCTTTTCTCCCCGAGTGCTAATGCCAGTTTGTCATCCAAGGGCTGATTAGAGATTAGTGTTATATGTCAACGTCATGCTAGAAATTCACTAGGAAAGCCTCACAAGCTAGTACCATTGTGATTGCATCAATTGTGGCCAGGCACCTATTGAAAGTAGATTTTTAAACATTATCAATCGAGGCCAGGTGCAGTAGCTCACGTCTATAATCCCAGCACTTTGGGAGGCTGTGGCAGGAGGGTTGCTTGAGCCCAGGAGTTCAAGACCAGCCTGGGCAAGATGATGAGACCCCATTTTCATTAAAAAAAAAATTTCTAATATGTGCTTGATTAAAAATAGTTAAATAGGCACAGTGGCTCTGCCTATAATCCTAGCTACTTGGGAAGCTGAGGCAGGAGGATCACTTGAGTCCAGGAGTTCAAGGCTGTTGTGAGCTGTGATTGCGCCACTGCACTCCAGCCTGTGCAACAGAACAAGATCTTATCACTTAAAAAAAATAAAAAAGAGTCAAATAGTGCAGAAATGTACACAGTACAAAATAGAAGTTACCCTCCCCCACCCACAAAGTATTACAGTTAATTGTATAATGGATATTCTTGGCCCCCTCCTGACATCCCATGGCAAATAGCTAGTGATCAGGAAACAGGCTCCTTGTGGATTAGGAATCCAGTGCAGGAGTTTGAGAAGAAAGCACCTTAGCTAATCAGGATGGTGATCCCCACCTCCTCATCGCCTTGCTGCATTGTGTCTGATGTTGCAGAGGGAGCAGAAACGTATACTGCTCCCTCCACAGAGCTCTCTGCTATTCCACTGATTTCATTTGGCTTTGACAAAAATGATATGTATGGTATATTTCTTTTTCTTTCTTTCTTTCTTTTTTTTTTTTTTTTGAGACAGAGTTTCACTCTTGTTGCCCAGGCTGGAGTGCAATGGCGCGATCTCAGCTCACTACAACCTCCACTTCCCAGGTTCAAGCAATTCTCCTGCCTCACCCTCCCAAGTAGCTAGGATTACAGGCGTGTACCACCGTACCTGGCTAATTTTTGTATTTTTAGTAGAGATGGGGTTTCACCGTGTTGGCCAGGCTGGTCTCGAAATCCTGACCTCAGGTGATCCACCCTCCTCGGCATCCCAAAGTGCTGGGATTACAGGCATGAGCCACCGTGCCCAGCCTGTATGGTATATTTCTTTTTTTCTTTTATTTTCTTTTTTTTTTTTAAAGTATGACCATAGAGCTGGGAAAAGGCATGTGACGTAGTAATCATCTGCCTTCATTCAACACAGTGGTCCAGACCCTCAGCCTCTTTGAGGCTCTAGATTTAGAATAATCTATATCATCTGAAGGAAAGATACATTTCACTTGAAACAGAAGCTTTTCTATACCAACAGCCTCTCCTTCAAGCCCTTCTATGGAAAGTGCTCATTTCACATCCTGTCGTAAACTTGCTAGTTGTCACTTGTGGAAAGTTGGTGCATGGTTACCTTTTGTGGAGATGAGAGTCAGGATCAGGAACTGGGGGACTGAGCCCACCAGGTGTGGACTGCCTAGGCTGTCCCTCCTTGACCCCACGCTCTGGCCAACTTCGACTGCTCCAAAAGAGCAACCCCACTGCAGGAGATGTCCCTCCTTGGGGTCGCCACACCAGGAGCAGGCCTCCGGAAACCTGAGAAGTACTTCGAGAATGACAGCCATCCTCGGCTCCTAGAGACTCACTTGTCCAAGAAAAATATCTATATAAATAAAAATTCTCATAGCAATAGGAATAATGTGAACAATCAATGTGGCAAATTGAACTAGCTGTAAATCAGTTTCCTTAACTTTGAATTAGGGTTAATTAACCTTAACCTCTCTTACCTGACAAAATAAGATCAGCGAGGAAGGTGATTTTCAACATTGAGGGTTAGCCGAAGTAAATCAGCAATAATAGTAATACAAATAGTGATAGAGTAAGAAGAGTAATATAATGAAAACTGTTTCGTTGAGCACCTGTGTATCAGAGGCTTGATGCTAGCTAAATACCTTACTTATATTGCTTCAAAAAATTCATACGATGAATTTGCATGTTAGATATTATTCTCATTTCAGAGGAAAAAATACTTCAGTAACTTGGCTAATTATAAAACTGTTAGTAATAAGTGATTGGACTGTGATTGGAGCCTATTGTACAAAGGGTTCGATTTGCAACTCTAATCTATTGACAGTGGCATAGAGTGGCCGAGAACTTAAATGTGTGGTCCAGGGATGGCCAGAAAGACTGCTGAGATTGATTAGCAGCATCTGCTGTGAGCCTAAGTAAGGACTAGGGGTAGCAGAACAGCAGCATATTTGCCTGCTGCATCACGCTGCCTCTCAAGCTAATGTAACTTGGGGAGGAAGGAAAGCCTCTTCACCTTAAAGTGTATTTTGTTAAAGTGTCACGATGTGACACTGTTGTGATAAAAACCACCTGGTTCCAAAGCGTGCAGAGGATGAAATGTGCGAGGGGCAGAGCTAGTGGCTCCCCACAAATAACAATTATCCCATTGGCCCCCACAGTGCTCCCCAGCAGTAGCACTGTCACATCCCAACAATGCGCCTTTGCCCACAGACACATGGGCCCAATGGCTGGCACTGACGGTTTCCCTGAAAAGTGCTACTGTCCTCTGTTCTGAGTTAGCCTTATTGTTCAGAGCTTAGGGAATGAGGCACATGTCCAGATATGGGACAATAATATGTGCTATACACTTGCTGTCAGCAATATTATAGGTCACCATGATATCAAAACCTTCAACTCTACAGTGCTCTGAACTGACCTCCCCATACCCTAGCCCTCAAACTTGTGAATACCTATTTGCCCCTAATTCAAATACCACTTCCTCTGAAGTCTTCTAGGACTACCACTCACTAGCCAGAGTTAGCTTAATGATTTTTTTTCACTCCATCATCTAAAACCATGCCAATAAATATTTGACCACTGAAAGAATAAATGAACTTGTGTGAATACCTTAGAAATTGGGAATAAATTACAATGATTTTTTGAGACCCAAAAGGATGAAAGGATAGCAACCATTTCAAGCATACATTCTTTGGATCTACTCTGATCATGTGGGAATTACATAGTCTAACAGCAAGTAGAGTAAGAGGAAGGGTTTTGGGCTATACCCCAGCACTTTGGGAGGCCGAGGCAGGTGGATCACGAGGTCAGGAGTTTGAGACCGGCCTGGCCAACATAGTGAAACCCCATCTCTACTAAAAACACAAAAAATTAGCCTGGCATGGTGGTGCATGCCTGTAGTCCCAGCTACTTGGGAGGCTGAGGAAGGAGAGTCACTTGAACCCAGGAGGCGGAGGTTGCAGTGAGCTGAGATCATGCCACTGTACTCCAGCCTGGCTGAGAGAGCGAGATTCTGTCTCAAAAAAAAAAAAAAAAAAAAAAAAAGCCATCATTTGGTGAGGGAAAGACAGTACACAAAAAAAATTCAGATAAGACAGAAAAATCTCTATTACTTGATGCTACTAATGAAATCAACCCTTCATCCCCAAATTAGGACAGATAATGGACTATAAAGACTTAGGTCATTCCACGGGGAGGAGACATTTCCTTAAGATAAGAAAGTAAAAAGCCAGTTTTGTTATGAACAGGGGAGAAATGCAAAGGTCCTGAGGCAGAAAACTGAAAGTGTCTGAAAGTTCTGGAGTGATTGGCTCACAGTGAACAAGAAGAGAATGGCAGGAGGTGAGAGTGGAGAATGGGGAGAGAGAGGCAGTGCAGAGAGGCCTTGTCGGTCCTGATAAAGGAGTTGAGGTTTTTATTCCAAGTGCAGAGAAAAACCACTGAAGGATTAAACAGGATCTATATCTGTAAAATGACAGTAATCCTCTGCAGGACAATTTCATACAGTGGAAAGAGTAACACCATTTGATGGAGTCTTTATACCTTTAGAGAAGCTACTTACAAAGACCCAACTTAATAGACAATTGCCAGGAATTAAACTTCATTATTTTGATACTGTAGAAAGTTGACCTTTAGTTCTAGTTGGCAGATGCGTGCTTTCTGGACAGGTTAGCCTAGTGGAATGATTTATTCTAGAGCAACTCTAAGATATTTTAAGTAAAAAACAGTGCCTCTGAGGAGAAAAGAAGGCTCCATTTCCCAATTCAACAGTTGTTCATTCATTGATCTCTCAGCTGACTTCTAGAGTAAGATGCTGCCCTTTTGGGCAGAAAAGGCTAGGCAGGTCCATCTTCCCCACATGGTCAGCCAGCTCTCCTTTCAGTCCCGGGCATGGTTCACACACTCTGGGACATACACTTAAGGGGCTCACTTCGTAATAGTGGCTGCTTGTTCCTATTGCCAAGTGCTTTCCCATGGCAGGTTGTGTTTCTTGAGCCTAATGTGTTCCAGAACTTCCTATTTCCTTACCAGTTCTCTGATTTAAAGAAATTGTTTATTTTTTCTTCACTTTTTCAACAATCTCACTTTTTCAACAGTCTTTATTGAGCACCTGTGCCTATGTGGAGATTAAACACATTGCGGGGCATTGAAGAACAGTGTTGGGGTGGTATTAGCACAACACTGGTTCTAGGGAGCTCAGGGAGTGAGCACTTATCTCTGCCTGAGTGGGCTTCCTGGAGGAGGTGACAGAGCTAAGCTTTTGAAGGAGTCTCATTCTGACATCTCTGAGAAAGATGGATCAGACAGTAGAAAGTGATTTGGAGACTGCTGGAGAAATCCAAGGAGGGCACAAAAAGCCTGGGCTGGCAAGGCGAGTCCAGAGGTAGAGGAAAAGTTTGCCTAAAGAGGTAAACAGGTTTTCAGGAAATAGAGCCAGTAGAACTTGGAGAATGATTGGGCACAGGGCAAATTTGAGATAATTCCAAGAGTTTGCAGCCACACCCATCTGCTCTCCAAGGAATAGTTCCCAAGCTGAAACTCAAAGGTCACCAGCATTCTTCATGAGATCCTGCTCTGAATCTGTTACCCTTTTTCATGACCTCTTTTTGGAACAGTGATGAAGAGGAAGTGGTATCATATATGGTTTCAGAATAAAGCCCTTGAGTCATTGTATTAGCTCTTGTTTACAGAACATTTTAAGATGCTTTCAAGGAAATACAAATAATATGATTCTTATGCCTATTTCCTGCCAGTGGCCAACCAGTCTTCTAAGTATGGTTGATGTGAGAAGTGAAACTATTTTCCTAAATGCTGTTTCTTTTCTCTTTTCATTATGAAGTATATTCGGTGCTCTTCGAACTGGTGCTTATATGGTGTACATTTTGATGACCAAAGGCCTGAAGCAGTCAGTTTGTGACCAGGGTTTTTACAATGGACCTGTCAGCAAATTCTGGGCTTATGCATTTGTGCTAAGCAAAGCACCCGAACTAGGTGAGTATCTTCTTCCATTTCCTCTCCCTCTCTTTGTAGCAACATATCCACAGTATTTATTTAGTGAGCAAAGAAACATTTTGAAGGTCCTATTTTGTTGGTTGCAAGAAAGTTACAATGAATGAATTTGAGTTCTTGCCTGACTTCTACTTTTTATTGTTCGCTCCCTCTTTCCTTTTAAATAATTTTACATTGTGCATATTAAGAGTAGATAGTTTATACTGAACATGCTGATTTTCGAGCTCTACTAAAAATATACCTCCACGGACTTATAAAATGTACAGAGACCCCTTTAAAAGGCCCACTGAGCTGAGCTAATATTAAAACATGGGGGAAGAAAAGAGCAACACAGCTATTTCCAAGTCCCATATCTGAGCATACTTTCATCTGTAGAGTTAGGATTCAGATTAGGAATTAAGCTTTTCATTTGGGGACCCTCCTGTTCTCATTAACAAATGCTGAGGGTTGGTCTCTGGTGGTGTTTGATTTTAATCATCAAGACTGGCCTTAGGGAAGGGGAATGTAATTTACCTTCCAGAAAGTAATAGAAAATACAGGCTGTATTTGTAGATTTCTATAATTTTTCCCTCAACCCTTGAATGGTCTTGAATGTAAGTGTGGCACAGGTTACCAGAAATAGTAAAGTCAAGGAGTTAATGTGGGCACAGTTTTCCAGGAAGATGTCTTTATTTACACAGAAAGAGATCTAGTGGTGACAATAAGCTCTGAGTACATCCATGAGTAATGCTAGCAAACTGGTACAGATTGTACAGGTACAAACTGGTAAGGCAAACCTGGTCACCTCTGGGGTTCTGGGTTTTTTTTCACCTGCAATTAAGAATTATACATATTTAGTTCAAAAGATATCAATTGCAATTTTTGCCATTGTTTTCAATGGCAAAACCGCAGTTAACTTTTGCACCAACCTAATATGTATTGTCCCCTCTCCTGTTTCTCCTAAAAAGGGAGTTTGGTGTTGTACTTTCCTTACAAACCACCTGCAATATAAGCTATGAGCAGTCTTCTGTAAGGTGCCCCTTGTTCACGCCCCGTGTCCATTCAGATAGAATGGGAACTGTCTGATTTGTGTGGGCCGGCAACCCAGCCACCTTCCACTGGAAGCCAGAAACCTGCTGTTTATAAGTAGATGACAATTGGTTTGAGCTACTGTCTTCCCAGGTCAAAAACAAGGGAAGAACAACAGAAGAAAATTTTTCCTGAAAACCTTTCCTAAGAGGGGCAGAGGTACAAAGATAGTCCAAAATAACTAGATAACTACCGCGTGCATGTGCATGCCTGCACCGCTCCCCCCCTCCAACAGACACACAAACGCCTACACACACGGATCATATGAAAACGGTCTCAGGGTAAAATGCATTAGTGTGGATTCATTCATTCATTCATTCAGTGCATTTATGTTAAGCACTGGCTGAAATAGAATGGCAACTTTATCTAAAAGGAATTTTACAATACAGATTTTATGAACCAGGCCCCAGGAGGTATTGGTACCACTAGGTATGAAGTCATAGGCTAGAGAAGTGGTTTTCACCCTGGATTTACAGACAATGCCTGCAAAATCTGAAGAGGTATTTCTGGGAATTTTAAAATTATATGAGAATATTTTAATTTGCTTTGATTCATAGAGTTTCTGAATCAGAGCACTTGTTCTCAAACTGGGGTTGATCTGAGAGTGTGAGCATGTATTCTTTACTCTTGGGGTTTTGTGATTTTTTTTTTTTTTTTTTTTTCCCTGAGACAGAGTCTTACTCTGTTGCCGAGGCTGGAGTGCAGTGGCGCGATCTCGGCTCACTGCAACCTCCGTGTCCCGGGTTCAAACAATTCTCGTGCCTCAGCCTTCCGAGTAGCTGGGATTACAGGTGTGTGCCACTACACCCGGCTAATTTTTGTATTTTTAGTAGAGACGGGGTTTCACCATGTTGGCCAGGCTGGACTTGAACTCCTGACCTCAGGTAATCAGCCCGCCTCGGCCTCCCAAAGTGCTAGTATTATAGGCATGAGCCACTGTGCCCGGCTGTGGCTTTTTTTCTTTAAAATAAAATTACACGTTATTAAAGTCTGAATTATTTTAGTTGAGAAATATATCCCTCTTTTATGCTATTTAATAACCTTATTAATCCCCTATCTTTTTTGACAAAGGCCTGACTACAACTACATAAATGTAGTAAATGCATGAAACGTGATTTCCCCTGAATGCTACCCCTGAACACTTCAACAGTTTCTACCTTTTACTACTTCCCCCTCAATTTTTTTTTTAATAAGAAATAATCATGCCAGTAGGATGCAAGTAGGAGACTAGACTATGGCTGGAGACTGGACTTCCGACCTTTAAGCCTCAGATCACAAAAAAGCAGCCTCAGTGTTTTCTTCTAGAAACGCCTTTTCCCTGCAAGGACTAATTGTGTTGTGTTCTGAGTTATATACAGCTGTATTTGAGGTACTTGAGAACAAACATAGTCCTTTCTACCTTTTGGAGGAATAATTTATTGAAATGCCACCTCAAGCTATCTGTAGTGATTAATTTCCTTTAAAGACATAATCAGACCTATGCTCTCTGTCCTCCTGACTTTTAGGATTCCTAGAGAAGACCTATTAGTGTAGCACCCAGAGGTATTCATATTTTCATCTTCTATCTTGGTTGTGTTGATGCTGATGATGTTAATATCACCTGTCTTAATTTAATCCAGGCCCAAATGTCCATTCCCCTCAGCCTCATAGCGGACATTGTAATTGAATACAGTGTTCCCTCTTGAGCCCCAAAGGAGCCATAATCCAGTCTCCTATTTGCAGTCAACAGGAGTGGTGTGCTGCTGGCATGATAATCCCTTTCCCTGGAAAGGGCTCATTCATCACAATAATTTGTAGTAGTCCTTTGTGGATTATCCAATAATCGATGCAGTTAAAATATGAGATTGAAGTGTTGGAAAAAATAATATTCTAATCTTGACATAGTTCTTTAATGAGGCTAATTAGTAACACAAATTCTTCATACAGTTTCAAACCCTTTATAGAGATAATTTTCATGTTCTGAATACTTTTTTTTTTTAACATTTTAAAATATGGGATATTGTTCTTCAAATACTCTGGAGCTCCTCTGACAATGGCCATTCAGAGGTAAACCGCTGACTCAAAACAGGTCCAAAATCAGTGCAAGTGTCTCCAAGACAAGCAGATCTAGGTCTTTATGTAGTCAACATGTTTGCCTGGATGACTTTTTTTTCCCATGCATTTTGGAGGTTAAATTTCTTTCCAGTTTTTGCAGTTGGAAAATCTTGTCGCTACTATTTAATTAAGAGAGATTTACCCGTTTGGATTATTTAGAACTTTTCTTATTTTTAGGTCTCAAATTTTACCTTTCAATATTCTAAGATTCTGGACTCTTTATGAGCACCAAAAGGAAAAGATCTAGTGAGAAAAAAACAGTTCTTCCATGTATAGTACTGAAACTGTATCCCCCCCCCCAGCTCCCACAAACTCAAACTCTTGTTTTAAATTGCAGTAAAATATACATATTATTCAGATTGTTGAGCAACCATTACTCCATCAACTTCCAGAACTTTTGCATCTTCTCCAACTGAAATGCTACTCATTCCACACTAACTCCCCCTTCACTAAACTCTTAATAAATAGCAAGAAGACCTTTCTGTTTCAGCAGAAAACCGTGAGCTCATTTCAGTGAATTATGGGGTTGTAGGCCACTAGAACAAGTGAGAGGAAAAGAGCCACTAACCTGCTTTGTGTGCCAAATCTCTGAGCACCTACTATTTGGATTATATTAAAACCCGCTGAGATTTTGTTTTGTTAAAACTTGGAAATATCTGCTCTGAGCCCAGGTCCTTGCTCAGTTGAGCATGTCATTGTTTTTGAAGCTCTGACTCAGCAGCACTCTAGCTAGCTCTGGGAAGAGGGACTCAGCTGTATGTGACAAACCACACACACAGAGTAGCCTCTCTGTGTCTCTTGGTGGCCAAGAACACCCTGGGGATTTCCAAATGCTTGTTGCTTTTCCTGCAGCTGCAAAGGTGTAGTTAAGAAGGGACACTTGGGTATAAGGAACAACATGCCCTGCCTGAAAGCTGTCTCTTGAATGAAAATAGTTGGACCAAAGGTTAGAGAAATCATGATACAGAGAACATGAGCCAGGAGGTAGCTAAAATGACAGGACTGAAACGTTCGAGAGTCTAAAGTCCCATTGCTTGTACTTGGCCAATGTCCTTCCCGTTATGCCAACAGGACATTTGAACAAGAAAGATTGACTGACCAACTCAAATACACAGTCCCTCTGATAGTTAACATTTCTGGGTCACTCTATAGCTTCTGGAAAGCCTGAAATTACCATGACTTGGCATGACTCTGGCTCATGACAAATTAAATGTGACATTATGTGGTTTCCCCAGAGGAAAAATAATTTGTACCTGCCAGAGTGGCCTGACTGATGCATCTCAGCTGCCATATCCAAGACCGTGAGAGGACTTGGTTAGCTCTTCTAGAGCCCCACCAGTTTCCCCCTGCCTGAGGGAAACTACCACTCTTTGGGTCAGCAGTCTGGGGGATAGTAACCCTGATAGGGTGTTGAATGGTGCTACTGATCAGCTCCAGAGCCATTGCTGGGAGATGATCAATTTCATTCCCGCACCCACCATCGTGCATATGTGTTCTGGAAAAAACTCCTAAGCAAATTTAAATTAATTTTGTTCTTGAGATTTCGGGACATGTTTTCCCCTCCTCCTACCCTCCACTCCACTCCCCTCCCTAAAGTAACTAGAAACACCCAGTGTATCTCAGTTAAACCTGAGATATACCCTCACCTCCAGACAGGAGAAACACAAAGCCATTCTTAACTCCAGAATTGTACCTTCCACTTTCCATCCCACACTAGCCCATTCTAATATGGTTTTTCTTAATCATTCTTTAGACAATAAAATTTTAATATAAAAGTGATGATAGGGTTAAACTAAAGAGTTAGGATGAAATGCATATTACTTTGACAAATTTATTATAATGTGTTTGGAATTGTATAGGGGTTTATATTTTAGTTAATGCTAAGAGACTCATGAAAGCATCTATTCAATTATGAATGACTAAACTTGTTTTAAACATACAGTATCTTGGACATCTACCTTCTTTACACTATGAACCAAGGTAGCTGGAATTGATTGTGTCTGCGTTATTGTCCACAGAGGGATTGGAGGAACAGAGTAGTACTTATACAGAAACGGTGGATCTCTGACAGATACAAAAATAGCACAGTTTAACACTGAAAAGTAGATCCCGGGTCTCCTGACACCAGTTTTGTCCCTTAAGTATATGTATGAGGGTTACCATCATCATCCATCATTATCAGTCTGCCTGACACTTATAGACACCATAAAAATCTGGCATCTTGCAAGAGAGAAGATGACTTCAACAAAAATTTGACAGTAGGTTCAGAAATATAACAACTGACAACTTTCCTATTTATTTAATTAATTTATTTATTTTTTGAGATGGAGTCTTGCCCTGTTGCCCAGGCCTAGAGTGCAATGGCATGATCTTGGCTCACTGCAACCTCCGCCTCCCCAGGTTCAAGTGATTCTCCTGCCTCAGCCTCCTGAGTAGCTGGGATTACAGGTGCCTGCCACAATGCCCAGCTAATTTTTTTTTTTTGAGATGGAGTCTCACTCTGTCGCCCAGGCTGGAGTATAGTGGCACAATCTCGGCTCACTGCAAACTCCACCTCCCGGGTTCATGCCATTCTCCTGCCTCAGCCTCCAGAGTAGCTGGGACCACAGGCACCCACCACCACACCTGGATATTTTTTTAATTTTATAGTAGAGATGGGGTTTCACCGTGTTAGCCAGGATGGTCTTGATCTCCTGACCTTGTGATCTGCCCACCTCGGGCTCCCAAAGTGCTGGAATTACAGGTGTGAGCCACCGTGCCAGCCTAATTTTTGTATTTTTAGTAGAGATGGGGTTTCGCCATGTTGGCCAGGCTGGTCTCGAACTCCTGACCTCAGGTGATCCCCCCGCCTTGGCCTCCCAAAGTGCTGGGATGACAGGTGTGAGTCACCACACCCGGCCAACTTTCTTTTTCTATTGTAAACAAATATGAAATAATAGTGTTTAACAGTTTAGTAGGAAAATAAACCAATAGCTCTCCTAATGCATGGAATGGGGCACCACCTGTATCTTTCCAGCCACTGCCATTAGAACCTTAGAAGTCTTTCCCCATAGTCCAGCATTCTTTGACCTTGCTGAGTGCAAGCGTTTTAGGCCATCTGTGAAGTACATGAGGGATAAGGTAGGAATAAGTACTAGTTTTTCTTTGTTTTGTTTTGTTTTGTTGCGCTTAATTAAATTTCAGAAGAAGAAGAAGAACCAGGGCCGGGTTCTCAGGGCGGTGGCTCACGCCTATAGTCCCAGCACTTTAGGAGGCCGAGGCTGGTGGATAGCTTGAGCTCAGGAGTTCAAGACCTCATCTCTACTAAAAAAGTTTTTTTAAATTAGCTGGGCATGGTGGCACATGCCTGCAGTCTCAGCTATTCCTTAGGCTGCAGTGGGAGGATCACTTGAGCCCAGGAGATCAAGTTTTCAGTGAGCTGCGATGGCACGTAGGTGACAGGGCAAGACCCTGTCTCAAAAACAAACAAAAAATTAAAAGAACCTTCTAGCTTTTGTTTTTTACACAAAAAGAAGCCAGGTTTGAGTTCACCAAAGGTCATGAAGGATGTCGATTTTTCCCATGTCTCATAACCATAGAGATAGGAAGGAGAAAGACGCATTCACCTGCATTAGCCTGTTTCTGTCACACATCCTAGCGTAACTTCCCTTATTTTCTTACTCGCTAATGTAATTGGGTATATTTTTCACTGGGCTTGCTCTTCATCCAATTTTACATAAATGTTCTACAGTCTATTTTCAGAGCCCTGAAACTTTTCAGTGAAGCATTGCAGATACATAGCATCTACCCACCTCAGCATAATTCTAGCTTTCATAATATAAATTCCCTGCCTCAGAAGCTATGGTCTTTTCCTTCAAAGGGATATTGTTAGACAAAATTTTGATAGATCCTGGAAATCTTTTCAGTTAATTCTGTAAAATGAAAACTGTTATTTTCAATTGCTCCTCACTTGATTCACTGGTATAAAATATTCCTATTACCCTTGTCAGCAAATGTGTATAGAAGAGGATTTTTGTCCCCCTTTTTCTGTCTTTTGTTTAGGTTTTACTTTTCTCACTGCCATTTGGCAAGGCTGTGTAATTTAGGGAGCTCACAAAGATATATGTTTGAGGGGTACCTTTTATCATGTACCAAAGAAAAATTATGGTTTTACTACTCTAGAGAAGCCTTAGAACATTTTGCTGGGCACTTGACTTCCAGTCTGTTTCCTTTGATTGATAAATGATCTAAGACAAGTCACCAGTCCCCTCCAGGTGGTATTTCCTAAAATGTATAGTTGAGTTGGGAGTTGGCAACATAGTTGTTAATGTCCCTTCCAGATCAATGATGGATAAGATTTTGTGTGAAATACCTTGAAAGAAACATTTGCTGCTTGCCTCCTGTGTGTGAAGAGAGCCATGCTGATTATCCTACTTAATCCTCAGGTGATTCCATGCTACTCTTTTAAATTATCACCATTTATATAGATGAGGAAACTAGAAATAGTGAGGATAACTAACTTGTCCAGGGTCACAGAGCTAGTAAGTACCAGTTCAGGGTTCTAATCCAGTCTATGTAACTCTCCAGTCCTAGCTCAGGATGTCTACCCTCTTACAAAACTGTAAGTCATCGTTACTGGTGGTCAAGGATCTCACGTACCTTCTTCCTCTTTGTCTTCCAGGAGATACAATATTCATTATTCTGAGGAAGCAGAAGCTGATCTTCCTGCACTGGTATCACCACATCACTGTGCTCCTGTACTCTTGGTACTCCTACAAAGACATGGTTGCCGGGGGAGGTTGGTTCATGACTATGAACTATGGCGTGCACGCCGTGATGTACTCTTACTATGCCTTGCGGGCGGCAGGTTTCCGAGTCTCCCGGAAGTTTGCCATGTTCATCACCTTGTCCCAGATCACTCAGATGCTGATGGGCTGTGTGGTTAACTACCTGGTCTTCTGCTGGATGCAGCATGACCAGTGTCACTCTCACTTTCAGAACATCTTCTGGTCCTCACTCATGTACCTCAGCTACCTTGTGCTCTTCTGCCATTTCTTCTTTGAGGCCTACATCGGCAAAATGAGGAAAACAACGAAAGCTGAATAGTGTTGGAACTGAGGAGGAAGCCATAGCTCAGGGTCATCAAGAAAAATAATAGACAAAAGAAAATGGCACAAGGAATCACACGTGGTGCAGCTAAAACAAAACAAAACATGAGCAAACACAAAACCCAAGGCAGCTTAGGGATAATTAGGTTGATTTAACCCAGTAAGTTTATGATCCTTTTAGGGTGAGGACTCACTGAGTGCACCTCCATCTCCAAGCACTGCTGCTGGAAGACCCCATTCCCTCTTTATCTATCAACTCTAGGACAAGGGAGAACAAAAGCAAGCCAGAAGCAGAGGAGACTAATCAAAGGCAAACAAAGGCTATTAACACATAGGAAAAAATGTATTTACTAAGTGTCACATTTCTCTAAGATGAAAGATTTTTACTCTAGAAACTGTGCGAGCACAACACACACAATCCTTTCTAACTTTATGGACACTAAACTGGAGCCAATAGAAAAGACAAAAATGAAAGAGACACAGGGTGTATATCTAGAACGATAATGCTTTTGCAGAAACTAAAGCCTTTTTAAGAAATGCCAGCTGCTGTAGACCCCATGAGAAAAGATGTCTTAATCATCCTTATGAAAACAGATGTAAACAACTATATTTCAACTAACTTCATCTTCACTGCATAGCCTCAGGCTAGTGAGTTTGCCAAAACCAAAGGGGGTGAATACTTCCCCAAGATTCTTCCTGGGAGGATGGAAACAGTGCAGCCCAGGTCCCATGGGGGCAGCTCCATCCCAGAGCATTTCTGATAGTTGAACTGTAATTTCTACTCTTAAGTGAGATATGAAGCATTATCCTTTTGTTCAGTTGCCCCGGGCTTTTGAACAGAAGAGTAAATACAGAATTGAAAAAGATAAACACTCAACCAAACAATGTGAAAACGGGTTCTGTAGTATTTGTAAAAAGGCCCGGCCCAGGACCACTGTGAGCTGGAAAAGGGAGAAAGGCAGTGGGAAAAGAGGTGAGCCGAAGATCAATTCGACAGACAGATGGTGTGTATGCCCCTCCCTGTTTGACTTCACACACACTCATAACTTTCCAAATGAAACCCCACAGTATAGCGCATATTTTCGATATTTTTGTGAATTCCAAAAGGAAATCACAGGGCTGTTCGAAATATTGGGGGAACACTGTGTTTCTGCATCATCTGCATTTGCTCCCCAAGCAATGTAGAGGTGTTTAAAGGGCCCTCTGCTGGCTGAGTGGCAATACTACAACAAACTTCAAGGCAAGTTTGGCTGAAAACAGTTGACAACAAAGGGCCCCCATACACTTATCCCTCAAATTTTAAGTGATATGAAATACTTGTCATGTCTTTGGCCAAATCAGAAGATATTCATCCTGCTTCAAGTCAGCTTCAGAAATGTTTTAAAAGGGACTTTAGCTCTGGAACTCAAAATCAATTTATTAAGAGCCATATTCTTTAAAAAAAAAAAGCTGGATAATATTCTCTGTAATATTTCAGTCCTTTACAAGCCAAATACATGTGTCAATGTTTCTAGTATTTCAAAGAAGCAATTATGTAAAGTTGTTCAATGTGACATAATAGTATTATAATTGGTTAAGTAGCTTAATGATTAGGCAAACTAGATGAAAAGATTAGGGGCTTCCACACTGCATAGATTACACGCACATAGCCACGCATACACACACAGACACACAGATGTGGGGTACACTGAACTTCAAAGCCCAAATGAATAGAAACACATTTTCTGGCTAGCAGAAAAAAACAAAACAAAACTGTTGTTTCTCTTTCTTGCTTTGAGAGTGTACAGTAAAAGGGATTTTTTCGAATTATTTTTATATTATTTTAGCTTTAATTGTGCTGTCGTTCATGAAACAGAGCTGCTCTGCTTTTCTGTCAGAGATGGCAAGGGCTTTTTCAGCATCTCGTTTATGTGTGGAATTTAAAAAGAATAAAGTTTTATTCCATTCTGTGTGAATGGTTTGAGCAGTGAACAAAGAATCCATGCAAACCAAGTCATGACTGGAAGAAATGGGGAGTGGGGGACAGTGCAGGGGAGGAAAGCTGTTACATCTATGTTAAATGATTGTGAGCAGTCTATAATGTCTTGATGTTGGTTCATAGGTGAGACACAACTGATGGAGGAATGTATTATAAATTATGCAAAATCTGACATGAGCTGAAAAGACAGGTCCTTTTATAAGAGCTAATAGATGCTTAGGATGCAAATGTTATTTTGAGCTTCGCAAATACATGATACCGTGCAATAAGCCTTTTTTCCTTATAACAGAAAATGAGAATAATTAAAATGAGGAGAAGGCCACATAACAGTTGACTTGAATTTAATTGAAGGACCCATTGGAGGCTCATCTGGTTGATTTAATTATTTAATTGAGTGATTTATTGCAGATCTCTTAATGCAGGTTAGAAACGGAAGTGAGCATAAACCTTAAAAAGACTCTAAATGATGCTTCCAAAGCACTTTCATTTTGGTATTAGGTTCATGTTTGTTTGTCTTTACTTGTAAAATAATTTGGAATTTTTGTTTACAGGGTGAATGTCTTAATAGTTTTAAAATTAGCTAAATATATCTAAAGGCATTTCCAATGTTTATCATGGGAGGAAAAAAGCCACATTTTTTTTAAAACAAAACAAAACAAAACAAAATTTTGGTAATATAGGTTCAATACACTGTTTTTAACATCTCAGCTTAGCCGCTTTAATCATATCAAGATATGAGGCTGGATCACTGGCCCATGACAAATCTGAAACCTACCAGAGAATTGACTGCTGCATAGATAATCCTGCTGCCAGTTAACATTCCAGAAAAACTTGGGCAGGCAAGTTTTTATAGCTGCCCCACTATGCTGCAATAGAGTATCTTTCTATTGAAGATTTTCCACTGCATCCCGATCCTACTATGGTGAAAGCATTGTTCTTGGGCTAAAAAAAAATCCTTTATTTCATACACACATGATTTCATACACTAGGTCTGAGCATCAAGCCAAGTCCATGAGTTTGCAATGAAGTTCTAGTGAGAAATGCTCTATTCATAAAGCAGGGGGTTTACGTGGACCTTCTAGTGTTGCTTATGGGAAAAGAGTAACTACCATATTACATCTAACGCAAGGCCAAAGTACCAAATTAAAACCATGGATTGAGGTGGTTATTCGAAGTCACTTACTCCCATCCTTCTAATTATGCTCCACTACAAAAGTAAGGGGAGAAGAGGGAATACTTTACATGTACATTGCTAGAGGGAAAAGAAAGGCTTGATTATATCCCCTCGCTTCTCCACCTCTCTGCTCATGTAAAGAAACTGATGAGAAAAGAGACTAATATGTCTAGACTGAGTTAGAAACTTCATATGAGTGGGTTTTGTAGAATTGATGGGAAAGACAGTGGGAACCTAGAAGAACAGAAAGAGACCCACAGAATGTCTTTCTTTTTTTTTTTTTTTTTTTTTTTGAGGTGGATTCTTGCTGTTGTTGCCCAGGCTGGAGTGCAGTGGCGCGATCTAGACTCACTG
Organism: Homo sapiens; assembly: GCF_000001405.40. Classification (NCBI taxonomy): domain Eukaryota; kingdom Metazoa; phylum Chordata; class Mammalia; order Primates; family Hominidae; genus Homo; species Homo sapiens. The sequence goes on along the minus strand of NC_000004.12, from coordinate 110,047,829 downwards.
CAACCTCCGCCTCCCAGGTTCCAGCAATTCTCCTGCCTCAGCCTCCCAAATAGCTGAGGTTACAGGCGCCCGCCACCACACCCAGCTAATTTTTGTATTTTTAGTAGAGACAGGGTTTCACCATGTTGGCCAGGCTGGTCTCGAGCTCCTGACCTCAGGGGATCCACCCGCCTTGGTCTCCCAAAGTGCTGGGATTATAGGCGTGAGCCACCGTGCCTGGCCCAGAATGTTTTTTTAAATCAGATGTAGCATCTTCATAAGGTAAAGCCTGTCACATCAGAGTAACAAAGCTCCTGGAGTACAGTGATGCTAGAGTAGAATGTTCCAGAAGTCTGGCCATAGCCCCAGCTTCTGAATTACCTGGGAGAGACAAGATGCTCAGGTTACTATTTTTTCTTTATTCTGATAGTACAGCCTCTACTCAGAGACCACGGTGTGTGTCACACAACCGAGGCAGCTAGGGCATATTCTGAGGGCTTTTTTTTTTTTTTGGTTTCCTTAATGATTCTTTAACAGAGTAACTGGATTGGCCAAGGTCTGATTCAAGAGGCTGTGAGGAGAGTAGAGAACAAATAGACTTTGCCTCTCAGAGTTCAGAGCTTTAAGTTGTATAAGCATGGTCCATGTCCACCTCTTGTAGACACTTATTCCTTAAAAGTTTCCATCATGAAAAATAATATCATGTCAAAATTTTATAAGCACCCAGAATGTCCCAGTAGTCAAATGTAGTGTCTTTCTCCAGTCTCTGTTTTCGATAATAAATACCTTGCTCTCAATTTAGGATGATCGTAAAGCCTATGTTCATGCTGTGAGTCATTGTCTCCCACAGCTTTTGAAACATCGTTCTTTGTCTTTTCTATACAACACCTGATTCTTTGTGCCTCAGACTCATTGCTATCAGGAAGAGACTTTGCCAAGATCCACCACCACATTTGGCCAGTAGTGTATACACATTAAAGTGAGAGCTGATGAAATCACAATGCTCTATTTTGTTCCGACAATCAGTATGAAGGGGTAGGTCCCAGTTTGCCAATGAGCAACAGCCTCTGTATGCTGGTGTCCAAGACTTACACAAAACAAGTGTCAGTGCAGTCACAGCATTTTCTTGAATGCTGTTGTGACAGACTCCAGTTATAAACATCTGCGAGCCATATGGCACAACTCATAGCTAAAGAGGCCGGTACAGGGCACATGCACAGAGCTTTGAAGAACATACACAAACCTGTTGAATCAAGTTACTTTCCTCATCCTCAGAGACTTTGACAATTCAGAGCTCACAGATGGCAGGGGGAATTCTCAGGCTTCCCTTCCTCCTGATTGACACTTTTTAAAGGAAGTGATGTGGAAGTTGTTCTAGAAGTTAGATGGACAGTGGGAGCACATTCGTGAGTGGGGCTTGGGAGAGCTCAAAAGTGGCACTTTGATTTTAGGCTGGGCAGGCAGAAGTCTCACAGTAAAATATATTTCACTAGACGTCCAAACCAACACTGCATTGTAGTAACCTCTTCTGAAGTAACTGGTTAAATTAATAACTGGTCCCATAAGTCAGGGTCAAGCCACATTTATAACCCATTCGGGCCGGCCATGAAGGGTTCTGACTCGACATTGGTATTTAAATGCTGTTACTTTCCCAATGCTTAGTAGCACTTGAGACTTTATTTCCATCGACAAAAACTAAGAAGGCCACAGAAGTAGCCTAACAGTCCTCCCTGGTCATACTCGTTTCAAACAGGTCTGCCTGTCTAGACATATTCAGGCAGGAGGTTGCTTGCTGCTATCTTGAAAACCACTGGAAGATTCAGCTTCTTGGGGACCTCAGAGCCCATATTCATATGGAAGCCCACCCATATAAGCCTCACAGAGCAAATCACAGCAATGTTGAAGTTGTTATTTTCAAGTGCTTATTTCACGACATTAAAAAAAATATTTTTTCCTGGTGTATTAAAATTAAAAATAAAATCATAACTTTTGATTTAAAATCAAACTGTGTTTCTGTTTTCTCTTACTCTGGGCAATTTAAATGGGACATCTAGGACACTGAGGGTTCCTCAAATACTCAGAAATGCCATTTCCACACTTGACACCCATAGGCTTGGGGCACAGAGATGAGTCACTAAAACTCCTCGCTTTCTAGTAGAGCCCAAAGATGCTGTAGCCCTCAACTACTACTGACTAAATGTCCATAAGATGTCCAGCCCTTCAGTAATGCCTTTCATTGATAGATTGATAGAGCATCTTACAATTCATATGCTTTCTACCTCTGTTGGTTCACCAGAGCAATTTTTTTGGGGGGTGGGGGGGATAGAGTCTTGCTCTGTCCCCCAGGCTGGAGTGCAGCAGCAAGATCTTGGCTTACTGCAACTTCTGCCTCCTGTGTTCAAGCAATTCTTCTGCCTCAGCCTCCTGAGTAGCTGGGATTACAGGGGCGCACCACCACGCCTGGCTTTTTGTATTTTTAGTAGAGACTGGGTTTCACCATGTTGGTCAGGCTGGTCTCGAACCCCTGACCTCATGATCCGCCTGCCTCGGCCTCCCAAAATGCTGAATTACAGGCATGAGCCACTGCGCCCGGCCGCCAGAGCAGTCTTAATGGGGCAGATGGTCTAAATTGAAACTCCATTTTTATAGATGAGAAAAATGTGCTTGTTAGATCCAGTGTTACAGAAGTGAGATTTGGACATAATCTTAGCTTGGATTTTGCTGCAGCCATTCAATATTTTGAAAAGAATGAGAATATAAATGAATAAAATTCTAATACTTGGCACTATTGGACAGAGCGTCTCAGGACAAAATATATTTTAGGGAAAACAACGGGTACAGCACCTCCTTCTTAGTTAATGGTGCAATAGGTTACTCACGCCTGCCAGATACTAGTAGGAGTAATCCAAGTCATCCACTCCCTGATCCCTAAATAATTTAGCCTTCAAATTCCAGTGTTCTGGAAAGTTCTTTGGCACACTTTATAGGTGAAATAGTTTGTCATTCTTCATCACCTTTTGGCACATTGTTACAATGTGTACAAAAGCAATGTCCCTACAGCATTTATATTTAAAACCCAAGAAACCGTTATTTGTGCAGGTTTCTCATGGCCAAATTATTGCCTCTTTTCACATCTCAGAATTGTTAAGATGGAACTTTGCAATCTATTTAATGTATTTTCTTAACTTAGGGTCAAATGGGGAAAAATCCATCCTGCACACAAAGTGTTTTTATTAACTTCAAAAAGGGATGGGGAGGGGGAGGAAAATCAGACTTCAGGGAGCGTTTCTGTTTTGTTATCAAAGTCCCAGAAACCTAATACAGATGATAGTGCCATCATGTAGCTTCTGTTACATGTCTCAAAAAGTGGATGTTTCAGAAATTAATAAAGCAAGCATTAAAACATACAAGCATATCACTGTCTAGCCAACAAAAATGCTGTACTTATGGAACTCCAAGACCAAGATATAATAGAGCAGGTTTCCTATGAAAGAACAAAAACGGGTTCACAACACCAATATTTTGGGAATGTAACCACTCCTGGCTGGTTGTTTTTTTTTTTTTTTTTTTTTTTTTTTTTAGAATAAATGAATTTAGGTGGGTGTTCTAAATCAATGGGCAAGACAGTTAAAATAACTGAAACAGCTCCTCACTGGTTGGTCTGCAGCTGATTAATCTCCAGCCTCGGTAGGTCTGGGACAGGGTCTCAGTTATTACCAGACACTGCTACCTGAGACCAAACAGGGAGACCCAGCTGAGTGCAGGGACTTACACAGCGTGTGTGTGGAGGAGGAGGGGCTACATTGTGTCCCCCCAGCCTCACAAAACTAGATACACACGTCCAGAATTCACATGTGCCCTCTGCCCGTAGCACCATCTCACTAAGCAAAGGACTCCAGGCAAGACGAGGAGCCCTAGGTCAGGAAAGATTGGACGCTACTGATCTAAAAGAGACTGTTATCTAATTAATTATCCCATTTTATCCCTTTTATATTTTTATATCTGTTTTATTTGTTTATTATTTCTTTTTTGAGACCATGTCTTGCTCTGTCGCCTAGGCTGGAGTGCAGTGGCGCGATCACCTTTCCCTGCAACCTCAACCTGTCGAGTAGCTGGGAACACAGGCACATGCCACTGTGCCTAGCTAATTTTTCATTATCTGTAGAGACGGGGTCTCCTTATATTGCCTAGGCTGGTCTCAAACTCCTAGGCTCAAGTTATCCTCCTGCCTTGGCCTTCTAAAGTGTTGAGATTTACAGGCATCAGCCACCACGCCTAACCTATATCCATTTTAAGTTTAACTGCTTTTCATTGTTTTCATCTATATAATAGTTGAAGGAAGGAACCTTTAGGATTTTGCCTTATTATGCATCACAGAATATGTATTTATTTGGGGAAAATCATACATGCACACTATGAAAGCACCGTGGCAGCCTAAGGGTTAAACACATACCACAGCCCCCTCCTGACATGCCACCCGTCTCACCACTGGATTCTGTCATCTTCGGTATTTTCAGCCCCCCACCCAGGGTGAAAACCCTGTGCTACACTCTGGGGTTTCACACACAGCTTGCTTTTCTATTGACTACACTAATTCCTTTCATACTAGAGGGAAAACTTATCCCTCTGGGTATTTCTCTGCTATGTTTTATTTGTGAAAACTCCAGTGAGTATTTGCTAAGGCTGTTAATATCTCTCTACGAAGAAAAGAAAAACAGGGTTCACTATTCCTGCGTCCACTACTGCTCACAGTTATATATGAGTTACTACAAAACACCAGAGCTTTTTTGCAAAACAAGCACTTTTTCTGAATTAGAAGCAGTTCTAATTTCAACTTAGTTTTAGAATAATGAAATCGATAGAATATAAATAAACCTGCTTAGCTTTCAAATAGACTTAGGCTGCCATGCCAACTCATTTGTTCATTTACATCTAACCTAAGTTTCCCTAGGACCCCTTAGCCTACAGAGGCAATTTAAATTTTTTTTTTTTTTTTTTTTGTGCCGGTTTGTAGCTCCCACTGATGCAGGACCTCTGACTTCCTGCCAAGTCCCTCGCATCTAATTCTGGAAATTGCCAGAGTGAGTCTCGCAGCCTCTACCAGGCATTTCTTTTATGTGGTCACCCCATCTCCCACCCTCCCACCCACCCATCCCTGCCAGGCGCAGCTGCTGTTGCATCTCTCCACCGGGCCCTGAAATCGCTGTGCACAGTCAGGTTCAGCAAGTCTCAGCAGGCATCCCCCTTCTCCCAGAAAGGCAACGGTTCCTCTGCTCTGCAGTGGGGCCAGATGCCCCTTTTCCCTTAATTAGACTTTCTGTGGGAGAAAGCTGGCCCCCTCAACTCAAGAGCCAGACACGCATTAGGGGGCCAGGGAATAGATTCGGGGAATGGCCACTGCGCTGCGGCAGAATCTCTACTTCCTCCCCTGCATGGGTCAAAGCTTTCCTCAGGTTGAACTCATTAGACCTATTACCTTCTTCCCCATGGATGAATGCCCTTTCTGGAACATCCTCACCTCCATTGCAAATAGACCTGTGGCCACCACACCAGCTTCCCGGACCTGCTCAGACATATCTGGGCCCAGCAGAAGTGAGTTCCTTTTCTAGAAGCCCTAGATCTCCTGAAGGCTCCCTATAACCTGCCCCACCACGGGCGCGGACGTCCCTGAGACCCACTTAAATTCCACCCAGCCACCATGCTACATATGTAAAGAAGTAACAAAGTACAAAAATGCTTAAAACAACACAAGTCCTTGCCTTTCCAGTGAAAATCAGTTTTTTGAATTGAAAGATCAAACTGCAGAAAATCACAGTAATTATGTGGATTTTCTCCACTTCTGATTCATGGCTATCACACGTGCCCACTTCCTCTTCCTGGGAAGTGCAGGCTGGGGCTCCCTGGTATGTTATCAGAGCACTGTGCTTTTCTACTTTATGGGACTTTGACCCCAGTAAATATATACTTAGTTATTTGTGTGCTGTCTATTCAACATCTGTCTTCTTTAATAGATTACAAGCTCTGTAGGACAGGAATCAAGCTTGCCTGTTCTCTCCTGAAATTCCAGGCCCCTGTAGAAGGCTAAATATTTGTTGAAAGAATAAATGCATTTTAGCCTATGGTTGTAGGTACCATAATAGATCTCTATCTTCGCCACATGTCTGTATGTTTAGTGTGTGTGTCTGCATGAGTGTCTGTGTGTGTGTGTGTTGAGAAATTCCTTGTGATTTTTCGTTTTATACTTTTAAACAGGCAGAACTGTGTTTTGAGCCATTGGATTATGACTATTTGCTTATTCCACTGGAAATTTTACAATCTTCTGTAATATTGTGACTGTGATTAGCAAAAGTTCTTGCCTAAGACTTCAGAACAAAGGCTTTGGAGTTTAACTGCCATCTGCTTGGGGATGGTTATTTGCCCACTCTGTGTCTCAGTTTCCTCATGCACACAATAATAATGATACCTACTGCAGGCCGGGTGTGGTGGCTCATGCCTGTAATCCCAGGACTTTGGGAGGCCGAGCCGGGTGGATCACCTGAAGTCAGGAGTTCGAGACCAGCCTGGCCAACATGGTGAAACCCCATCTCTACTAAAAATACAAAAAGTATCTGGGTGTGGTGGTGGGGACCTGTAATCCCAGCTACTCAGGAGGCTGAGGCAGGAGAATCGCTTGAACCCAGGAGGCAGAGGTTGCAGTGAGCTGAGATCGCACCATTGCACTCCAGCCTGGGTGACAAGAACAAGACTCTGTCTCAAATAAATAAATAAATAAATAAATGGTACCCACTGCATAGAGTTGTTATGAGGATTAAATTAGATAATACTTGTAAAGCCCTTAGCATGTCTCTTAATACATTTTGTGCTGCTATAACAGAACATCTAATACTGGATCATTTATGAAAAATGGAGATTTACTTCCTATAGTTCTGTAGGCTGGGAAGTCCAAAGTCAAGAGACCTGCATCTGGCAAGGGCTTCTTGCTGCATCATCCCATGGTGGAAGGTGGAAAGGTAAGAGAGAGAGAGAGAGAGGGAGACAGAGGTGAGGGCTACAGAGGGGAGAGAGAGAGAAGTGGGCAGAACTCGTCCTTCTATCAGAAACCCACTCTCTGGATAACTAACCCACTCCCACAATAATAACACTAATCCATTTATAAGGGCAAAACCCTCATGGCCTAATCACCTATTCCAGGTTCCATCTTTCGATGCTGTTGCATTAGGGTTAAGTTTCCAACACATGAACTTTATGGGACACATTCAAACCATAACAGCATAGTTACTTGGTACATAGTAATTGCTTAATGTTAGCTAATAGTATTACTACTACTACTATTGTGTTACTTCTTAACTTCTTTTTTCTGGGTGGTCTACACATAAGCCTCTATTTATTCTTCACTGTGATACTACAGAAATTTACCTATGGAACTTCTCTGTCTTGTTATTATAACACAAACTGTAAATGAAACTATAAACAAACATCTTTTCCAGACTAACAGAGAATGAGGTGCTAGGTAAAAAACTATACCTCTATTAGGGAAAATGTAAAGTATATTTTGACATATTCATTGTAGCTTGTATTTTGTTTGCTGTTTCTAATACTTATGTATGATTAATTAGCCAAGGCTTTTGAAAGAAAGAAAACAATTTCACCTGAGTGTCTGCTATTTGAGCAATATATTTTTAATCTGTCCTAAAGATCATTCTTCATGATAAAACTACTTCTAGCACAAATGATGCAATAAAAAATTTCCTCGGGAGACAGAAATGAATATCTATATTGTATAGCTTAAATATCAGTTTCTGCATAAAGCAATTTGGAATTGCTAAGGGTATTACTACAAACACAAACATCTGAGTTTAAAATAGAATGGCCTTTATCATGGTCCTGATGGACAAGTCTGTCAAGATCATGTGTGTCTTTCTATGAGGTTTTTCAGTAAAATAAACTTGACTCTCGAAACAGACAATTCCCAAATGATTAGTATATTCAAACCCTAAAACTGTGGAGTTTACATATAAAATTCTAAGCTAATTAAATAGTCACTTGTCACTCAAAAGTAGTGAGTGAAATATTACTCACTAGAAGCATCAAATGTACACCTATTCACTTGCTGTTTGATTATGTTTAGGCTTTGTGCTCCACCCAAATCTCATCTTGAATTGTAATTCCCAGGTGTTGAGGGACGGACCAGGTAGAAGGTGATTGGATCATGGGAGCAATTTTCCCCATGCTGTTCTCATGATAGTGAGGGAGTTCTCATAAGATCTGATGGCTTTATAAGTGTTTGGCAAGTTCTTCCTTCACTAGCTCTCTCTTTCCTGCTGCCCTGTGAAGAAGGTCTTTGCTTCCCCTCCATCTTCCACCATGATTGTAAGTTTCCGGAGACCTCCCCAGCCATGCGGAACTGTGAGTCAATTAAGCCTCTTTTCTTTGTATATTACCCAGTCTTGGGCAGTTCTTTGCAGCGGTGTGAAAACGACTAATACACCGATAAACTCACAAATAAACCTTTAAAAATGAGCCGGGCACGGTGGCTCACACTTGTAACCCCAGCACTTTGGGAGGCCGAGGCAGGCAAATCACTTGAGGTCAGGGGTTCGAGACCAGCCTGGCTAACATGGCAAAACCCCATCTTTACTAAAAATATGAAAATTAGCCGCACATGGTGAAACACGCCTGTAATCCCAGCTACTTGGGAGGCCGAAGTAGGAGAATTGCTTGAACTCGGGAGGTGGAGGTTGCAGTGAGCCAAGATCTTGCCACTGCACTCCAGCCTGGGCGACAGGTGAGACTCTGTCTCAAAAACAAAACAAAACAAAACAAAAAAAACCTTTAAAAATGTCTGTAAGGAGATCATGGGAAGAAAACTGTATAAATTGTCAGAAGCTGCGCCCGGACTGAGGAAGCACAACTGCTGTTTGTTCATTCAAATTAGATTAATTGCATTTTGAGGTTTTAGGTTATGCATTTTGCTTTAACAATGGGAATTATATAAACCTCATTTGATTTCAGCATAATGCCACTAAAAAGCACTCTCTTTGTCTGGGATTTTGGTATACTTTATACTTCCATATTACTTTCCAATTATATTACAGTAACTACATTTTAATTATAACAGCATATTTCTCTCAGACTTGTAGTTCTAGTTGATGGATTTCAGCCTTCATCCAGGTCCCAGCTCTGAAACTAGAATAAAGCCAGGTATCCCTAACAAATAAAATATTATAGCCTGTTTACCTCTCCTTTCTTCTTTTTATTACGTAGACATTGTTTATCAAGAAAAGCCTTTAACACATGCAAAAAATGATTTTAGTCCCTATCAAAATGTCTCATATTTACATATATGCATATTTTTTAAAAGCAATGTGAAGGTTTGTCTATATTGTGAACTGCTCTTGAGAGCTTAATTTATAAGTAATTTTATTGTGCCTAACTGCTGGTTAAACTTCTTATTATGAAAACTCTTAAACATATATAAAAGTAAAGAGGCCAGGTGTGGTGGCTCACGCCTGTAATCCCAGGACTTTGGGAGGCCACCATGGGAGGACTGCTTGAATTCAGGAGTTTGAGACCAGCCTGGGCAATATGGCAAACCCCCATTTCTACAAAACTAAAAAAAAGCAAAACAAAAACAAAAAAATTAGCGAGGCATGGTGGTGCACGCCTGTAGTACCAGCTACTCAGGAGGCTGAGGTGGGAGGATCTCTTGAGCCCAGGAGAGCGAGGCTGTGGTGAGCTATGTTTGTGCCACTGCACTCCAGCCTGGGTGACAGATGAGATGCTGTCTCAAAAAAATTAAAAAAAGAAAAAAAGGAGGGAGAATAATGTAATGAGCCCCCATATTTCCAGCACCTAGATTAACATTTATTAATATTTTGCCATATGTATCATATTTGTTTTAAAGCAAAGCCCAGAATTATGACATTTTACTCTTGAATACTTCAATAAGCATTGCTAAAAACTAAGACATTTTCTGCATAACTACAATATTGATGACTCCTAGCAAAATTTACAATAATTTCTTGCTATCCTCTAATATCTTGTTTTTTTTTTTTTTTAATTTTCCTGATTATCTTCAAACTGTCTTTTTACAGAGAGGTCCTCCCTGCTTTTTCGTCTAAGCCAAGAGATTTATTAAGGAAACAAAGTCAATGGTCCTATGAAATGTCCCGCATTCTGGATTTTTCTAATTGTTAGCTTGTGGCATCATGTAGTTAATTCCTCTGTCCCTAGTATTGCCTACAAAACAATGAGACTCAAGCTTAAGATTTTTGCAAGAATATTTTAGGTGGTGCTGTCAATTTCATATTGCTTCTCCCAGGAGGCACATGGTGTCTGGGTGTCCTACTTTTAAAGATGCTAGGATTGATCAGGTGGTGCAGACAGCAATCTCCTAATTATGATGCTGACTTTCCTCTCTTCTACTGTGGATGAGTACCCTGACACCATTCAAATATCCAGTTTCCTAGAAATCTTTCACTTAATCCTTTTGGCATCCTTTTTTGAAACAGTCTTGCTCTGTTGTCCAGCCTGGAGTGTAATGCTGCAGTCTCAGCTCACTGCAACCTCCACCTCCCAGGTTCAAGCGATTCTCCTGCCTCAGCCTCCTGAGTAGCTGGGACTACAGATTCCCACCATCATGCCTGGCTAATTTTTGTATTTTAGTAGAGAAAGGATTTTACCCTGTTGGACACACTGATCTCAAACTCCTGACCTTTGGTGATCTGCCCATCTCAGCCTGCCAAAGTGCTGAGATTACAGACATGAGCTACCATGCCCAGCCTTTGCATCCATTTTGATAACAATTGATAACAATTGCCTGACTCATTTATTTCTTTGGGGGATGAAAAACTGAGATTTGATAATTTGGTCATTTCTTCTACATGTAATAACTAAATATCTTTTGCTTAAAAAATCATTCTTCAACCACTAAGGCAATTTGGGCATCCTGAGATACAACTTATACAGAGAGGATAGAGAAATCCTTAATTTTTTTACTTGAATCACTAATTTTCAGAGCATTAGTTTGATGCACCAGCCATCTGCAAAGGGGACAGACAACTCTTGAGAACTTTTTTCTTTCCTGTTTCCATTATTTTTATGACCTTATGAATTTTTATATAATCAATATATTTCAGCCAGTTGTAGTCATTATTCTTTTTTGGCTGCTCAAAGTCTCCCACCTTTGGCAGTGGGAGTCCTTCAGCACAGGTTCTGCATTTTCTTGACATGTGCTCAGTAGTCTTTGATATCTTCCTTCCTTCCTTTTCAGCACAATGGGACGTCCCAGTATCACCACATGCATTTGCAGACCCAGACCCAGAATCAACCATTTCTCTGAGGAGTTATGGTTTCCTTTAGAGAGGAAAATGACCCATTTTTTTCCTACTCTAAAATACTTATATTTCAAAATGAATCCAAATTTAACTACATTGCCAGGTTGAAAATCAACTTATTTCAAAGACTAAAAATCCACTTCTGTGCTGCTGGCAAAAGACATTTTAATTAATACAATTACCAGGCATACACAAGTAAGATTATCAAAGAGCTTTGGGCATTTCCTCATTGGTTCTGCAATATTCCTATTGAGTTTGTACAAGACCGTTTTATCCCCATTTAACAAGGTAGGCTGAATAGAAAAGCAGAAATTTAATTGTACAGGAAGTTAAATGCATGTAAACCTTAAGGTGTCTCTCATGTTCTCACACTATGAACAAAACTCTTCGAGGCTTTAAAGAAATTGTACAGAGCAGTCCAAAAAGTATTATGCAAATGATACTGACAGTTATTTAATTAAATTTTAGTAAATAATTAAAAAGACATGTTTTGATCATAAATTTAATATTTCATTCCATGTCAAAATAGATAAGGATTGACCAGGCACATAATGTCCTGGCTACAGCAAATATTCCTTGATTTATTCAGTCAGTAAATACCTATGTGCCTGGAAACTTGAAGCATAAATAGTTATTCCTTATAGCTGTGATGTTTTAAATTAATTTCTAGAATAGGAACATTTTTGGAATATGTAAATCAATCACCATTGAACTATTTTCACAACTGTCCAAGGTAGGATAATATTAGCATGATGTATTCAAAAGATCTAGACATATGAAGAAGAAATTGGCCTGATTTCCCCAAATAGCAAACCCCCTGAGATCCCTGGCACTTCACAGTTGTGGTTTGGGTTAGGTTTTCAAGCCATAAATCTGCTTTACTCTGTTTTTGGTTGCCAACTTGTCATTATCACCCTTCCAACCAGCCCCCACCACCTCATTGCCCAGCATCTTTTCTACCAGAGTGAACTTGAGCCAAATGTATTCTTCCCCAGAGGACACTCTGTGGCTGAAGGGCCCAAGAGAGTTCCTATAAGAACATTTTTCCATTTGAGTTTGTCTCTTTGTCAGTAAACACCTTGTCACCAGATCTGTTACTTTTCACTGCGATTTGTCAAGTGTTGCCTGATAGCTGAGCCTTCCATTTAAAGGGCACACTGAGGAAAGAGCCCCGTTCCAGGAAGCGCCCATGCTAGGCTCCCTTTAAAGCCTTCTCTGAGCCATTCTGCATGATGTTGGCCAAGTCGCTGGCCTTCAGTCACTCTTAGTTCCCACATCTCCAGGTGATCTTTGAGGGTCATGATCACTCCAACTCTTTTTCCCAGCTAAAGTTACATATGTCTCACTGAAATCCTTCTATAAGTTCACATTGGTACAGAAGATATGCTTGAAGTCAGATTCAGGCTACTTTCTTCATTTGTATCACCCTACTTTGGTTCTTTTCAACTGGTACAGACTCAAAATTAAGTGGAGAATTTATGAAAGTAGACTGAAAAAATAATAGCCGAAGACCCAGGAACCACCACCACCAACCTTAACTTTTCCAGAATAGATGGGCTGCAAAATAGAATTGATAGAATATATAAGAAAATAATCCAATTCCTCATTTAACTTTGCAAGGACACAACCTTGCTTCAGAATAACTGGAGTGTGATATAAGCCTACAAGTTCCTTCTCCTGGTTATGGTTATATCCTTGGAAGCTGTGTCACCAAAAAGCTAAGAGCATGTGCCCTGGAGTCAAACTATTTAGGTTTCAATTTTATTCCTAACTAGCTGGGTGACCAGAGGCAAATTACTTAATCTCTCTTTTCTTATCTGTGGAAAGTGGATCACAGTAGTACCTCTCTCATAAACAAGAAAAGTTCTCAGACAGTGCCTGGAACATTTTCAGTCCTCAATAAATGTTAGCTAGTTTGCATCCAACTGAGCCACCACTCCTGACAAAAAAGAGAAAATCTGATTTTCTTCAACATATCACCATCACCCTTCATCACCCACCTCCAAAAGCTCAGGAGTCACTGCATTTCTTACTGATCACATAGCACCTGGGGGGACATCTAAATCTTCAAGGCAGTCCAATAGAGAAACCATAACTTCCAAATATTTCTTGAACACTTTCCTCAAGTTAATACCTTTCCAGTTGCAAATTAATCAAACCCATGCTGGGCCATTATTGCTCTCCAGAGAGCTGCTCAAAAATTCTGTCTCCTGGCAAGGGAAACAATTCACCTCCATTGCATTTTTTTTTCCCCAAAAAGGTCATAATTACTTGTGGTCTAACAAATGTACATGAATGCTGAAATGTATAAGTCCTTCCCTTTTAACAAGATACTTCGGCCCACTACCCCTGCACCGCAGACCTCAGCAGCTTTCACTTCCAATATTTTGTAACCGATGGCTTGAACAAAGATCAAGTACTTCCTGTCCCCAAGATTGCTACAATGGTTATAATATTTTCACAAGAAAATTTATAAATGGGTTTCCACCAAATGCAAAATTTCTCCAAATTCCTTCACGTATACCGAATGTGGGAAGAAAATTTGAGTTACTCTCAAAAAGTACTTCTTTTCTTTTCTGCTGTGAAGACTAGCCAGAGAAGGCTGAAACTATAAAAACATGCCTGAGGCTTATTTGCTTATAAATTATAAGTAGATTTACGTTTATAGTTCAATAGATCACTCTAGCAGTTTCCCAGAAGCTTTCAGAGAAACACATTTCTCAAGTGCTTACATATTGAGGCAAAATGGATTTTTCTGCATGAAGCATTAATTAATTCTGGTTCATATATTAAAGTATATATCTTTGTGCATATATAATATGATATTGTATCCTTCTTAACTAGTTAGGTGTAAGCAGGGCACAGTGGATTAATTCACCAACTTGGAAACTTGCTTCGATTACAGCAGACAAAAACAAAAACAAAAAACCGCGTTCTTACCTCGGAAACCAACAGACAGACATTCTTAGGGGAGAAATATATGTGAGTATGTGGTAAGAGGCCTCGTAGGGAATGAGAAGAGAACCTTGCTACAATAAACCTTTTTGTTAACACTTCATTAATAAATTCACTTGCATTTTCCCTTCAAATTAATAGGCTTTTCTACTTAATTTTACAGGTGAACATTAAGGAAAACATAGCCTTTTGTAGGAGAAAAAATATAGCACCAGTTTCACAGCCACCATTGAAGGGAAACTTTTTCCAACTGCAAAAATATGAACTGCCTTTTGATAATATTATCAGTTATGATGGATAATAATAACAGCTATAATTGGATGTTGTTTGCCATCTTTACTCCTGGAGCACCCATCCCCTAAGTGTGTGTGTGTTGGCTGATAATAACAATACAGAGGCAGGGTGTGGTGGCTTATGCCTGTATTCCCAGCACTTTGGGAGGCTGAGGCGGGCGGATCACTTGAGGTCAGGAGTTCGAGACCAACCTGGCCAACATAGTGAAATCCCATCTCTACTAAAAATACAAAAATTAGCCGGGCACAGTGGTGTGAGCCTGTAATCCCAGCTAATTGGGAAGCTGAGGCAGGAGAATCGCTTGAACCTGGGAGGCGGAGGTTGCAGTGTAGCTGAGATCGTATCACTGCACTCCAGCCTGGGTGACAGAGCAAGGCTCCATGTCAAAACCAAAAAAAAAAAAAAAAAAAAAAAAAAATGGAGAGTTGCCAGCTCTTTATGCGTGTGTTTGGGGGAAGTTGCGACATGCAATGCAGACCACAGCCAGTACTCACTCATGTATCCAAGACAGGCCTCCCTACCCCAGGTGGGGCCAGTTCTGCGGTGCAACTTCTGCTCCAGATCTTCCACAAGGGGAAGCTAGTCTCCAGGGGAGCCACATCCTTGTTTAGTTTTCTCCCATACCCTACTTCTGATTCTCTCATGCCTCTTCTCCGGAGAGCACTCTCCCAATAATAACCTCAACAAGAAATCCCACACCAGATGCCACTTTCAGGGAATCCAGTCTAAGAGTTGGTATGGCATATGGTTCTAGGAAGCAATACTAGATATGGAATCCTCTAGCTGGATCACCAGGCTGCAGGATGGAAAGAAGAACCACATCACTGGTGGGAGACAAGGCTAATCCCTGGCCTGCTGATTGCTAAGACCATTACCTATGAAGAACTGGGATGAGATAAAAGTGGAAAGAGTTATGTGGACTGGTGCAATGAGACAGGTGTTTGGAAGGTATGAAGAAAATAGTAACTGTAAGGACTGGGGAACTGATTTAACAAAGAGAGGAAGTGATCTATTGATCGATAGATCTGTTGGCAGATCTATTAATCAACAATTTAAAGCAAAAGAAGAAAACTCTTTGCAGTTTTTACAGTGACTCCCATCTCCTGTGGCTTGAAGACTTAACTATAAGAATGGCAGAACTTGAGAAAAGCCTGGATTCCCTGCAAAAGCCAATCTCCCAGAAAAAATCGACCCTCCATGAGGAAGAAGTGAGTGCTGAGAACTGGGATGGGGCTACCTGGGTAGATGCACTTGAGAATCTTGATGCCTCGAGGTCGTACCTTGATTTCCTTGAACTCTCCAAATTTGTAGTGAAGGCCCATTTTCCATTGTTGGAAGACAGAGCCTCCCCCTGCACACACACACACCCTTACTTGAAAAGCCTTCACCTTAGACAAGTGCCGTGCTAGGCAATGCTTACCCTTCTCATGATCTGCCCCAAACCCCTTCCTGGCACGATTGCTTGATGCTAGGAGTTCAAAGCTGTAGAGAGCTATGATTGTGCCACCGCACTTCAGCCTGGGCAACAGAGTGAGACCCTGTCTCTAAAAGGAAATTAAATTTAATTTAAAAAGAAAATGTAAAGTTTCCCATATAACCTGTCAGTGGTGTGGCTCTGACAGCTTTGAGATAAAGTTCAGCCTCTTATACAGGGTCAAGAGGCTCCACCTGCTCTGGCCCCAGCCCACATCTCCAGCTTCACTTATTCTCCAGCCTTATTCACCTTCCTCCAACCTCTCTAACATTCTTCCCACCTTTACAAGGAGCCAGCTGTTCCCCATCTCAGGGCCTTCACGCTTTCTACTGTTTTCTGCTGATCTAACTCCTCCTTCTCCTTCTGGCTTCAGCTTCAATGTCAGGTCCTCAGGGAAATCTGTCCTGACCTTTGTAAACTGGGTTAGATTACAGCATCTCACACTGTAACTTTGCTCTGCAGTGATTATCACCGTTGTAGTTTAACATCTGTCTCCCAGATGGACTATAAGCTTTGTGAGGGCAGCCTCATTTTATACCCAGCACATGATACAATTTCTGCAACATAAGTGGAGTCTCACTATTTTTTAAATGAATGAATGAATTGAATATAAAAAATTAATAAATAAATGAAGTTAAGAGAGACAAGACCATAAGCAGGAAGTTCTTGCTAATCATCACAGGTTAGTTTTACTGGACTTTACACACACACACACACACACACACCCCTATCCCCCAGCCCCCTCCCACACACACACACATATACACACTCCTGCCTCCACTGAACCCATTCATTTCTTAATAGCACTTCTTTTGTTTTCCCGGTGGTTAGGGTTTCAGAATTTAGGCTGGTGTGGAGTTGCATCAATTGTACACCGTGGAAGAGCTTATGCTGCTTCTCCCTTAGCGATGCACGAGCAGACCGTTTTAGCCCTCAGTGATTAACCCCATCACACCTTTCAAGCACTCTTCATTCATTATTCGATAATATGCACAATCCTTTGAACCTAAACTTTCTCATTGTCTGTAATTACTCTTTGAAGCACATGAGATGTTAACAAGAATAAGTGCAATTATCCAGCTTTGCAATAAGAAGCCATATTTATTGATACTGTGTTTAGGAAGTCACTAAATATAGATGTGGTAATTTTAGGCTTAGTTTCAGAGCAACCAAATGATTGAAAGGTACCTTTTCCAGATGGCTGGGCCAATTGAAATCAGATGATTACATCATGTTTAGATGAGTCTTAGTCCAGGGGTATAAGGTAGGATTATTATCAGAGGTGTTAACAAGGATATTGAGACTTGGAGGCACAGGTTCTGGAAGTTCCAATAGCAACAGCTGATAAGGGCAGGCTGAAAGAAGAAGGAAAGTAAAGCAGCAGATCTCGTCTCCCTCACCCATTTGCAGCACCAGGGCAATATCTACAGAAGAATCCGGCCCCACTCTCCTCCTCACTCCCCAAGCCACTCCATTCCATCTCACTCAGACCATGGAATCCAGATGACGCTGAGAAATTATGAGTGTCTTCCTGCTTCCCACGGCTGCTTCACAGTAAACAGACTGGCATCATTTCCCTCCAAATCTGCCTCCCGATCTGTTGGGGGTATTTCATAAACCTGGCTCTACCAGTGTCTCCATGTAATATATACAAACCACCTATGCAAGTTTCATCGAGAAAAATATTTACATACACACAGCAAAGCCCCTCAACTTAACTGAAGGAAATTGTCTTGCAAAAATGTGCCCTTGACTATAAAAGATGTATTCATCAGGATTCTCAGTTACAAATGACAGCAACTGAACTCAAACTGGCTTAGGCAAAAAAGGGAATGTATGAGTTCACAGCTGGGAAGGTAAGATCAAGACAGCTGGAGCCAGTTGGCAAATGATGTCAGTAGACATCTTTCTCTCTCTTTTTCTGTCTCTCGCTCCCTCTCTCTTTGTTTAGCTTTGCATTTCTCTCTGTGGGATTCAGTCTCAGGCAGGCTCTCCCCAGAAGATGCAAAATGACTCCCAGAGGCACCATCCTGTCTTATCAACTCAGCAATTGTAGCAGAAAGAAAGGGAGTCACTTTCTCAATAGCACCGGCAGAAATTTTATCATTGAATAGTAGTATTCTGACTAAGATCAAGTGTCCATTTCTGGACCAATCAGTGTGAACAGAGGGATGAGAAATGTGGATTGGCCAGGCCTGGACCAGATGGCCAAAAAATAGGGTCAGCCTCACGCTGAGAATTGGGAAGGGCTGTTGCCCAATGGAAGAGCCAGTTGCTATCTTAGAAAAAGGGTGGATTATGCCATTCATACATTGCTATAAAGAAATACCTGAGACTGCTAATTTACAAAGAGAAGAAGTTTAATTGGCTCATAGTTCTGCAGGCTGTGTAAGAAGCATAATACAGGCATCTGCTTCTGAGGAGGCCTCAGGAAGCTTACAATTATGGTGGAAGGTGAAGGGGGAGCAGGCGTCTCACATGGAGGGAGGCAGGAGCAAGAAAGAGAAAGCGGGGTGCCACACTTTTAAAAAGTCAGATCTCACAAGAATTCACTCACTATCACAAAGACAGCACCAAGGAGATGGAGCTAAACCATTCATGAGAAATCCACCCCCATGATCCAATTACCTCCCACCAGGCCCCACCTCCAATACTAGGGATTACAGTTCAACATGAGATTTGACTGGGGACACAGATCCAAACCATATCAAAGGGAAATTAATGGCAGGTTAACAATAAGATACAATAAGATGCCAGAAGGCACAAGTCTTTCTGCTTTCTAGAAGTATTTATTCCCCTGCCTCATTTTTCACTTGAATGTATTGGTGCTGATTGATTACAGTAGTGATAATAATAGTAACCCACCCCTACGTCAAGCCTACTACATGATGTTCACATGTTTTTACGCATATACTCCCCACAATTCCATACAAAGTTGGTACTATTATAACTCACATTATATACACAAGGAACCTGAAGCACAGAAACGTAAGGTAATTTGCCAAGGTCACATAGCTAGTTAAGTGGTGGGACCCAGGATCAAATCCAGCAGGCTGACTCCAGTATGTGTACTAATATCCACCTTGCCACTTTGTCTTGGTAATATAGTTTTCTTTTCTTTTTCCGGTTTTATACAATCAGACTGTTCAAAGCACGGTCTCAAAAGCAGGGGGGAGGCCTGAAATCTTTATTCTCCCTGGGCTTACATAGAAACCTAATCTCAGAGCTCAATCACTCTGTAGTGGATGATGGTAATTAAAATTTCTTAAATATTTGTACATGTTGATTTTTTTTACTTGATTTAAAAAAGCCATGAAACCAGCCTGGCCAACATAGTGAAACCTTGTCTCTCCAAATAATTTAAAATATTAGCCAGACATGGTGTCACGTGTCTGTAGTCCCCAGCTACTCAGGAGGCTGAGGTGGGAGGATCACTAGAGCCCAGTAAGTCAAGGCTGAAGTGAGCTATGATCATGCCACTGCACTCCAGCCTGGGCAACAGAGTGAGACCTCATCTCAAAAAACAAAAGAGAAAGCCATGAAAATCAAGGAAGTCTGAAAAATTACCTCCTCTGTAAAAGCATTTCTCAAACCTTACTTATTCACAGACCACTTCAACAAATTTTGCTATATCCATATACCACCACAACTATTATTTATCTAGTATTTTTATTGAACTTTATCTTAAATTGACTTATTTTCTATTTGGCCCTGCAATTATGGACTTTATGTTCTAATTGTGTTTTTCCTAAAAACTATTAGAAATAAAACATGTAGGCCAGGCGCGGTGGCTCACGCCTGTAATCCTAGCACTTTGGGAGGCCGAGGCGGTGGATTGCCTGAGGTCAGGAGTTCAAGACCAACCTGACCAATACATGAAACCCCGTCTCTACTAAAAATAATAATAATAATAAAATAGCCAGGTGTGGTGGCATGCGCCTGTAGTCCCAGCAACTTGGGAGGCTGAGACAGGAGAACTGCTTGAACCTGTAAGGCAGAGGTTGCAGTGAGCTGAGATCACACCACTGCACTCCAGCCTGGGCAACAGAGCAGGACTCTGTCTCAAAAAATAAACAAATAAAATAAAAATAAAACATCTGGGAAATGCAAATTAAGACCATAATGAGATATCGCTCACATTGCCAGAATAGGTACAAATTTAAAAAAAGATCAACTGCAGGATATTTGAATGTCTTATGCATTATTGGTGGGAATATAAAATAATCACTTTAGAAAAATTGTGTATGTTTCTTATAAAACTAAAAAATACACCTATTGTCTCACCCTACAATTACAGTCCTATCCAGGAGGTACGAAAATACATTGACACAAAAAGACTTGTAGAAGACTATTCATAGTGGCTTTATTCATAGTAGTTAAAAACTAAAAACAAACCAGAGGATGGATAAACAAAATATAATATACTCACACAATGGAATATTAGCCATAAAAAGGAATGAAAATCAGGGATGAAGAAAGAAATTAGGCTGAGTGGAAGAAAACATATGCAAAGGAGTACATAACACATGATTGGCTTTAATTGAAGTTCTAGAATAGGCAAACTTATCTATGGTGAAAAAAAGTCCAAACAGTGGTTACCTGGAGTTATGGGTAAGGATAGGGGTAAAGGAGGAAGCAAGGGAATGTTCTATATTTTGATAGGGGTTTCAGTTACACAGGTGCATGTATGCATTTTGACAAACTCAGGAAATTTTACCCTGAAAGAAAAATAAACTATAAACAAATATTGAACTCTTATTAATCTGCACACTAAAGCATTTTGAATGAAATGTATTGTCATCTGCAACTTAACAATAATTAGCATTAAAAATAAGATGGATTGATGGCTGCATCAAGGGAGGGATAGAAGGTTAGATATGTGATAAACAAGTAAAGAAAAATGTTATGGAAGAATCTAAGTAGTTTTATGGGTGTTCACTGTAAAATTCTTCCCACTTGGCTATACTTTGAACATTTTTATAATAAAATGTTTAATAAAAAGTAAACACCTAACCATTAAAATAAAAAAGAAATGGTTCATACAGGTACCACTTACAAACACTTTTACCTCGCTGTAGTAGTAAATGTTCACAGTCTTCAAACGTGGAAGTAGCAGAAACTTGCTTCTCTTGACATCTAGAGTTACAAAAGAACACTATTCCAGCTCTGTTTAAGTCTATAAAGCTGAGTGAAAATTTTATGGCTTAGGTTCATATCCATTTCCCTACTTTTCATATCAAAAATTATACATTTATCCAAATTTGTCTCAAACTATTCTGAAACAAAAGAACAACTGACTTAAATTTATGAATGAGTTCTGTTCTCCTTCAGGAAAGTCACCCTTTAGGAAAAGAGAGGGATTTGGCTTCTGGAATTCTTGGTTACTGAAAAAATAGGTCTTTAATTTGAGGGCATAGTGGAAAAAAAATCAAAACTGACAATTATGGAACTTCATAAGTTTCATAAGTGTAGCCACTTAAACCACTGCTTCAGATACTATTAAAGTTGAGTAGGAAAGGTTCATTTGTATATACAACTATCAATTATTCAAATATTTGAATCTAATGACAATCCAAATCAATAGTGATTTGGACTGAAATATTTTTTCTGACAAATTAATAATTGCCATCCACAAGATTTAAACAAAAGTCCTTAATCAGAAGAAATTGAGAAATCTAGAATAGCAGAGAGAGCAATATAAAATAAATTAGAATAGGAGATTTGGAGCACAGACAGAATAAACAAAATGAAAATAAATTTTTTTAACAGCTGCAATTACTATCTCAGCCAAGGGTGAAAAATGCACCAAAGACAAATATTCAGCAGTCTGAAAGAGTTTGAATAGCTATTAGCATAGATTAAATCTGTGGAAGAAAAGAAAAATGGCACATGGGCTTTGTACTTGCTATGGTATCCAAAAACTCATGCCTATTAAATACAGAAATCATTCTAATTAGGCGAGTATAATTACCGGGTTTATCAGAGTGTAATTCAAATGCAAGCTTCCCTTCTACCTACTATAGCGTTAAAGTGAATAATTTTTTTCAGAAAAAAAATCTCACAATGCTGTTTGCTTTATATCTGTATACATTTGTGTAAGCTAACAGAGAGGAGGAATCAGATTTTTTGTTTTGTTTTGTTTTTTCTTATAACATCTACATGAGAGTCATATTTATTAACAACCTACATGGGATCTACTTTTAGACAGACTAGTGATAACAAGTTTATCTGAAATTTTAAAAAATGACAGTGCTGCAAAAAGAAAAACTATCAAGCAAATATTAAGACTAGAGAAGTGTCTATAAGCCCTTAAACCTGTCCCCTAAGGGAAGAGGCCAAACCTCTGTGGCTATTCCAAACAAAGATAAATTACAGATAGCTGTTAAAAAAAAAAAAAAAAAAAGTACAAGAGAGGCTCCTGCCAAGAAAACCAGAGTAAGGAAACTGTATTTTGTCTTGATATCTACCATTTGGCAAACATGGAAAATCCTTGTTGACACAGTGTGATGGATAGATGCACCACTAACATGGCGGGATCATGCATAATGCAGCAGATCAGGTACTAACAGGCTCACACAGAGACACTTCCATTTATTTTTCATGGGCTTGGAAAATTGATCTACAAGGTGGTCCCATGTGAGTGTCTCCTTGGCCCAACAAATCTCTAAGAGTACTTTGATTTTCTTTGCATCTAGAATGAATCTATCCACTGTGGCTATGCCTCTTAACTGACAAAATGAAGAGATGGAAAATAAGCCAAGTTTCTGATTAAATTAATGTGCCAGTTCTCTGAATTATGGAAGACCTTTTCCAAACCCCAAATGGATCATATGATTTTTCTAGGACTAGTTTTAAAAAAGTGAATGAACAGTAGGACCAAGTCGGACAATCCAGGACTGAAATGAATTGCTTTAGGATTTCTTCCTAAGCTCCCCAAGCTAGAAGCACTTCTTTGCCTTCCCCAGACTCATGCCAGAGAACGTTCTCATTATCCTGCTGTATCCATCCCTGTCATCCCCTCCCCACTGCACACTCCTCCAAGTGCTTCAATCCTTAGAAACTACCTATATACTTGAAACTAAAACATACCGGAATTGGGAGGGGAAAGCACTATAGAATCGTCACCATGGAGTAAGCATCTAGATCAGGGAGTAAAAGCAAAGTTCTGACATCGTTCCTGCTGTCGTAGTGTCTAGGGAAGTCAGCATCTGATATGTGTGTGGATGGAGGGGGTGTAAAGTGGAAGTTTCTGTTCTGAACTTCTACAAAGTTTTCCTGTCGATGTCATTCCCACAACTTGGATCTCACACAGACAGACCCCTAGAAGGGCCATACTGACCCACCTGGAGAGGCTATCCAAAAGGGACAGTTAACCATTATAATTGTAAGTTTCACATAAGTGATGGCTGGTTTGCACTGAGTTCAGGGCCTGGCACAAGGATTTTGAAAAATACAATGTAAAGTGCTTCTTCTTTAGGATGGCTGACTAAGAACAAGTCTTTCGTTTCTTCTAAAATCTCACTAAAATGACAGAAGAATAGCATCTAAAATATGAGAAGATATAAAAGGATAATTCATATTTTTTCTTTTCAGGAATATATGAATTTCATAGGCCTGAGCCTCACACAAGCATCAGAAACAAGATACATTAACTGTGTGAACAGGATTCAAAGGAAATCAGAACCATGTCAGTTATGTTAGAAAATGACAGTCTTACATAGCCCAATGGAACAGAATAGGTCAGAAGTAAGACCACACATCTACAATCATATGATCTTCAACAAACCTGACAAAAACAGGGAGTGAGGAAAGGATTCCCTATTTAATAAATGGTACTGGGAGAATTGGCTAACCATATGCAGGAAATGGAAACTGGACCTCTTCCTAACACCTTATACAAAAATTAACTCAAAATGGATTGAAGACTTAAATGTAAAACCAAAAACTATAAAAACCATAGAAGAAAATCTAGGCAATACCATTCAGGACATAGGCATGGGCAAAGTTTTCATGACAAAAATGTCAAAAGCAATTATGACAAAAGCAAAAATTGACAAATGGGATCTAATTAAACTAAAGAGCTTCTGCACAGCAAAAGAAACTATCATCAGAGTGAACAGATAACCTACAGAATGGGAGAAAATTTTTGCAATCAATCCATCTGGCAAAGGCCTAATATCCAGAATCTACAAGGAAGTTAAATTTGCAAGAAAAAAACAATCCCATTAAAAAGTGGGCAAAGGACATGAATAAACACTTCTCAAAAGAAGACATTTATGTGACCAACAAACACATGAAAAAAAGCTTAACGTCACTGATCATTAGAGAAATACAAATCAAAACTTCATTGAGACACCACTTCACACCAGTCAGAACGGCGATTATTAAAAAGTCAAGAAACAACAGATGCTGGCGAGGTTGTGGAGGAATAGGAATGCTTTTACACTGTTGCTGGGCATGTGAAATTAGTTCAACCATTGTAGAAGACAATATGGCAATTCCTCAAAGACCTAGAACCAGAAATACCATTTGACCCAGCAATCCCATTACTAGGTATATACCCAAAGGAATATAAATCATTGTATTGTAAAGATACATGCACACGTATGTTCATTACAGCACTATTCACAATAGCAAAGACAAGGAATCAACCCAAATGCCCATCAATGATAGACTGAATAAAGAAAACGTGGTACATACATACCATGGAATATTATGCAGCCATTAAAAAGTGACAAGATCGTGTCCTTTACAGGGACATGGATGGAGCTCAAAGCCATTATCCTCAGCAAACTAACATAGGAGCAGAAAACCAAACATAGCTTGTTCTGACTTATAAGTGGGAGTTGAACAATGAAAACACATGGACACAGGGAGGGGAACAACACACACTGCAGCCTGTCGGGGTAGGGTGGGGGTGCACGAAGAGAGAGCATCAGGGTTAATAGCTAATGCATGCGGGGCTTAATACCTAGGTGATGTGTTGATAGGTGCATCAAACCACCATGGCACACGTTTACCTGTGTAACAAACCTGCACATCCTGCACATGTATCCTGGAACTTAAAAAAAAAAAAAAAGAAAAAATGACAGTATTTCCCATCAGAAAAATTGCACAAGTGCAAGGTAGGCAAAATTTGGTTTAGTGAGCCGTTTATACAAAGGCGACCTAGGGGTTTTAGTGACCTCTGCTGTAGACTTATTTTGGCATTTTAAACTACCCAGTCCACCCACAGCTTCTGCTGAAAGGGCCAGTCAAGGTGGCCACATTTGTATCATGTACATCTGTTCCCCTTCCAGTAGCTAATTGGACCAAAGTGAACACCTGACCCAGGCTGAACAAATCCAAAAACTGGAACACAGTCATAAAATTCCCTTTCCCAGGAAGTTGGAATTGGGGAATTGGAAAACTGGGACAGCTGCAGCCTGATTCATTGCTACTCAAAGTATGATCTGTGGACTAGCAGCATCCACGTTGGCTGGGAACTTCGTAGAAATGTGCACTCCCCATCCTAGACCTATGGAACTATTATCAGAATTTTAACAAAATCCCCAGTTGATTTCGTGGACACTAAAGTTTGAGAGACACTGAGCTGGGCAATGGCAATGGGAGAACACTTGAAAAGTTTACAGAGTTTGGGCTAGGTCCGTTTCATGCTACACGGAGCACAGGCAAACCAAAGTTAAGGAAACATAAAAGACATGGAAAGGTCACTTCGCCAAGAGAAGAAGGAGAGCAGAACAGACCTGCAGAGAGAAGACGAGACAAGAGGCCCTGGGGTGGGGCACTGAGGAGTAGACTCAGCTCCTGGGGCTCCTCCTGCCCAGGGCCCAGGGGGGATATTTCACTTCATATCTTGATGGAAGCCTTACTACCTGTGGCGACTTTACAATGAAGATATCTGTAGGGCAGCTACTCCAGTGGATTTCTGATGCTGATCCCTGATTATTTCTATACATGCTTCCTGTGTCACGTAGTTTCTATCAAAACTAACAAAATTTGGGAACTTCAGTATAAAAGGGGGAATAAAGCACTTAGTACCCCCAGGATTTAGGCCTCCTCTGGAGTCTGATACTCAGTTTGGGCATCTCACTTTAAAAAGGGTGCTGCCATACTGCAGCCAAGCCTCCAAACAAGAGGCAACACCACAGTCTAAAACTACGCCTAAAAACAGACTATATGGGCAACAAAAGCAGGGATGTTGACTTTCAGAAAAGACTCTCCGGAGACATGTCGAACTGAGGGGACGGCATTTTTCATATTTGAAGAATTGATCTTGTACAGACCCAAGCTAGCCCAGAGGAGGCCTATAATACCTCTCTAAGGAAGAATTTCCTTACAACTCCAAGAGTATAACAGCTGTCTGTTGAAGTCTCAAGCTCCCTGTGACTGCAGTAAGTCAAAAGCTGAAGCCAAAGAACCTTCTTCAGAGACATAGGAAAGGGAATTTTACTTTGAGCAGAACTCTATGGCCTCTATGGTATGCTGTATTTCTAAGATTCTCCAGTTGCAGAGCTAAGATTATGAAGGTCTTTTCTCTCTTCTCATCATGAGCAGACAGAGTGCCCACTTCAAGGCTCTGAGCAATCACTGAAGCACAGAATTTTCCATTTGCCTTGTTTTCTGAGAACCTTGCTAAGTTTTGATGACAGTTTTAAAATAAGAAGATGCTAACAATTGTGCAGGGATAAAAAAGTCATTTGGAACCTGAGACAAATGGAAAGAGAGCTGTAATTTTGGAATAAGAAAGGAACGAAGCTCGTTCTGAGAGTTCTAATACAGTGGAGGATTAAAGAGTTGTTAGAGGCAGAAAACCCTGGAGCCAGATTGTGAAAGCTTCTGCTTCCTACCATTTGTGATCTTGATTTTCTATTCTAATTCCTTAAAAATTTACCCCATTCATTATCTCATGAATGCAGGAAGTACAGACAGTTTCACTGTAATTTCCAGCTCACTACAAACATATGTATTGCTTTATGGGTCTACTTAATTTAGCAAACACAGAAAAGCTTGCATAAGAATTTAAAAGGCAGCATGTAAAACTGAAAGGCGGGGGAAAACCCAAACAAGAGATTCTCAAAGGTCAGAATAAATTAATAGAAGAAAAGAGATGGATGATTAGAGCAAACCAAAGCACCAGAATTCGAATGCTCCTTCTCATCATAATTATGAACATCATATTTATCATCCCCAACCAAATAATTTCTTATGAGATTCCAAATGCCGATTTCTATTTTTTCTGTGTTGTCTCTTGTGCATTACACAGTTCTTCTTTCCTCAGCTCTTCCATTATCTTCTTTAACCCTCTACGTGTTCAAGGTGTGTAGTAAGCAGCATCTTCTGCCTCTCTTGAGGCTCTTCACACTGGGGAGGAAAATTTCCGCTCTGAAACATGGGAATCCAGCAGGCATGCTCCGTGGCTTCAGGGGTCCAGAGTTGAGCAAACCCAGCCCGAATGAATGCAAAGAATGTGAATAATTCTGCTTTGGAATCCATGAAGTGCTTAACAGAAAACTGAAGGACAATTTCTTTTCAAAAAGTGAAAAAAAAAACGTATTAGGCACTTCACAGAGAAATAATAATAAAAAAACACTCATGTGTCCACCACTAAAGACTTAGAGCTAGAACATACCAGACCCTCAGAAGCCCTGGAGTACCTATCACTGAAGGCATCCTCTTCTAGCTCCAAAGACAACTACTCTTTTTTCCTGATTTTTTTCCTTTGTTGTTGCTATTTGTTTCTTTGTTTGTTTGTTGTAGACAGGGTCTCACTCTGTCATCTCGGGCTGATCATAGCTCACTGCAGCCTTGAACTCCAGGCCTCCAGTGAGCCTTCTGTCTCGGCCTCCCAAAGTGCTGGGATTACAGGTGTGAGCCCCTGTGCCCAGCCAACAACTACACTTCTGATTTTTTTTGCAGTGATTCCCTTGCTTTCCTTCGTAGTTTTACCACTTAAGCCTATATCCACAAACAATATACTGTTTAATTTTCCTTGCTTATAAAATTTATATAAAGGAATTATTTGGTCATAAAATGAGCTTCTTTTCTATTTTTCTGATTGATCCAAGTTAAACAGCTTTTCAGATTAATCCATTTTCATATGCATAGCTGTAATTCATTTTTAAACTGCTATACAGTATCCCATAATAAAACTATACCATATTTTAAAATTCATGTTACTGTTGGCATTTATGTGGTTTCCAGTTTTTGTTTTTTTGTTTTTTGTTTTTGCGATCATGAACTCTTTTGTATGTGCCTTGAGATACACAGGTATCTCTCACCAGAAATATGTAAGAGTATTGATAGGCCCACATTCTCGTTGAAACTGGTACTTACCTAACTTAATAATTTTTGCCAATGGCTGGGTGCGAAGTGGCATCTCATTGTGGTTTCATTTTGCATTGCCCTTATTACTAATGTGACTGATCATCTTTTCATGTGGTGTTGGGGTCACGTTTGTGTTCCCACTTCTACCCATCTATCTACTACATTGCTAGTCTCTTTCTTATTGACTTTAGGAAGTGTTTATATATTCTAGATTTATATCTTCCTTTGTCAGTTATATATATCAAAAATTTATTTTCAAAACTTGAATTTTGTATTTTTACTCTCTTTATGATATGAAGACTAGAGATTCTTAATTTTAATGGCAACTTTTTGATATTTTCCTTTTTCGGGGGGTCTTAAGAAATTTCTCCTTACTCCAAGGTTATTAAATATACTCCAATAAACTCTTCTGAAACTTTATAGTTTGACCTTCCAAATTTAAGTTTGTATTCTACCTTGGTTGTATGTACAATGCTTACAATAGGGATCTGTTTCATTGTTTCATGAACGGAGAATCAGTGTTCTCAGCTGTATTTATTAATAGTTCATTCTTATACTGCTGATGTGCATTGCCCACTCAATCATCTTTCAAGTTTCTGTGTGTAGCTCTTTTTTTTTTTTTTTTTTTTTTTTGAGACAGCGTCTTGTTCTGTCACCAGGCTGGAGTGCAGTGATGTGATCTCGGCTCACTGCAACCTCTGCCTCCCAGGTTCAAGCGATTCTCCTACCTCAGCCTTCCGAGTAGCTGGGAATACAGGCATGCGCCACCATGCCCAGCTAATTTTTGTATTTTTTGTAGAGACAGGGTTTCACCATGTTGGCAGGATGGTCTCAATCTCTTGACCTCGTGATCCACCCACCTCGGCCTCCCAAAGTGCTGGGATTATAGGTGTGAGCCACCGTGCCTGGCCATGTAGCTCTTTTTTATTCTATTCACCTACTTGTCTAACCTGAAAGAGTACCATACTTCTTAGTTACTATTGCTTTATAATAATTTCTGGTGTCTGATAGATCAAGTCATTCTATTTAATTCTTCTTCATGTGTAACTTTCTATTTTTCATTGAGTCTATATTCATTTACATTTACCTACATATTGACCCTTTCAATTGTTTATTTTTTGCTGTATTTTCATGAGTTCATCTGGGATCATTTTATTTTTGCCTGAAAATTTTTCTTCAATATTTGTATTGGTACAGGTGTTTTGTTGTCCAATTCTTTAGGTTTTTGTTATCTAAAGTCTTTATTTTGCTTTCGCCTTTAAACACTATTTTTGCTGGCTGGATGTAGAATTCTAGTTATTACAACACATCATTCTATTTTATTTTATTTTATTATTTTATATTTTATTTTATTATTTCATTTTATTTTATTTTATTTGAGACAAGGTCTCCCTATGTTGCCTAGCCTAGTCTCGAACTCCTGGGCTCAAGTGATCCCCCCATCCTGGCCTCCCAAAGTGCTGGGATTACAAGTGCGAACCACTGTACTCAGCCAATTATTATATTTTCTGCTGGCATTCATAAATTCCATGGATAAATTATCTCACCATCTTGTTCATTTGAAAATAAAGTTTCTTATTTCTGACTGCTTTAAAAATTTAAAAAATTGTAATTATGGTTGATTTGTATTTATTGTTTGGCTTTGTAGTGTTTCTTATTATTTTTCATTATTATAATGTTTTCACATATGATCTCTTCAAATATTGCTTTTACCCCAGTCTTGCTTCTGTCCTTCTACAATTAAAAAACATGTTAGAAGTTTTTTATGTTCTTATGCTTTTTCTGTACTTTCTATTCTTTTTTATTGCTCTTTATGCTTCAGTATGGATGTTTTCTATTGATCTATTTTCTTTTTTTTTTTTTAGATGAAGTCACACACACTATGTCACTATATTGCCCAGGTTGGTCTTAAACTTTTGGGCTCAAGCGATTCTCCAGCCTCAGCCTCCTGAGCAGCTGGGACTACAGTGTGCTTCACCATGCCTGGCTGATCTATTTTCTAGTTCATTAATTCTTTTTCAGCTGTGTTTAATCTGCTGTTAAACCCATTTAATATGTTCTTTTAGTTATCCTATTTTCGAGATTATTATTAATTTTTTTTTTTTTTGAGAGGGAGTCTTGCTCTGTCATGCAGGCTGGAATGCAGTGGCACGATCTTGGCTCACTGCAACCTCCACCTCCCAGGTTCAAGCGATTCTCCTGCCCCAGCCTCCTGAGTAGCTGGGATTACAGGTGCATGCCACCAGGCCTGGCTAATTTTTGTATTTTTAGTAGAGCTAGGGTTTCACCATGTTGGTCAGGCTGGTCTCGAACTCCTGACCTCGTGATCTGCCTGCCTTGGCCTCCCAAAGTGCTGGGATTACAGGTGTGAGCCACCGTGCCGGCCTTTCAAGTTTATTATTTTTAAAGATCCCAATTCTTGCTGAAATTCTTTTTCTCACTCTGTGTATTTTTCAATATATAAACCTAAGTTATTTTAAAATCCATGTTTGATAACTTCAATAATTGAATCTCCTGTAGGTCTGCTTATTTGGCCTTTTTTTTCTCTTGGTTTTTGGCTAATTGTCTTATCCCCTGGCTTGTCTGGAAATTTTTTATTGAATGCCAGATGTTGTATATAAAAATTTGAAGACATAATCAGAGATTCTGAATGGCATTATGTTCCTTCAGAGAGAGTTCACCTTTTGCTTGTAGCAACATTAAAGATGGGGTCAAATAACTTTAATTCTATTAGGGAATGAATATTCTGAATTTGTGTTTCTTTGTGAGGGCTGGACTGTTTCTAGTTAGATCTTTGGCCTACAATGTAGGTCTTCAAATATCTTATGTGAAGCCTTGGGTTGGTCATCAGGGCCATTCTTCTTTGGCAGGTCTTAAATTCTGATTTTTGTCTCCTAGCCTCATAACAATGGCAAAAGCTCAAGTCAACTTCTCATGTTACTGCTATTCTCTGTATTCTTCTTTTAGCCTGCTGTTTACAAATTAGCAAACGCTGGAAGAGAAAGAGTGACACTGAGTGTCAGGTTTATCTCTTTGCATTTCTCATTCTAAGATCTTAGCCCCTAGAATCCTCATTGCCTTAGTATTTATCTGATGCCTTCAAATGGATTGTTTTTTTATCCAGTTTTCTTAATTATTCTTAGCAGTAAGTTTCTGATAAATCTAGATGTTCATAGCTAGACCTTCTCATATAAATTTTAGAATTAGTTTGCCAGGTTTCATGGAAAAAAACATGAGATTTTTATTAAAATATTATTGAATTATCTGTTTGGGGAGAATTAATGACTTTATAACCTTAAGACTTCCTATTAATAAACTTAGTATATCTTCTTTTAGGCTATCTTTCAATCTTTAATGTCTTTCCCTTTTTTTTTTTTTTTTTTTTCAAGAGACAGGGGCTCACTGTATTGCCCAGGCTGGTCTCAAACTCCTGGGCTCAAGTCATCCTCCTGCCTCAAGCTCCCAAAGTGCTGGTATTACAGGTGTGAGCTACTGCACCCAGCCAATGTCTTTCCACTTGTAATTTTCTGCATAATGGGCTTGGACACCTGTTAGATTTATTCACGGTTACTTCACATTTATATTACTATTATAATTTACACATTTTAACTACATTTTCTAGTAAGCATTCCTGAGATATATTGATTTTGTGTTCCTACTTATAATTTAACTATAGATTATTTTCCATTTTATTTTAGTTTATTTATGTATTTATTTTTTGAGACGGAGTCTCACTCTGTCGCCCAGGCTGGAGTGCAGTGGCACAATCTCGGCTCACTGCAAGCTCCGCCTCCTGGGTTCGTGCCATTCTCCTGCCTCAGCCTCCCAAGTAGCTGGGACTACAGGCGCCCACCACCACACCCAGCTAATTTTTTGTATTTTTAGTAGAGACGGGGTTTCACTGTGTTAGCCAGGATGGTCTCGATCTCCTGACCTCGTGATCCGCCTGCCTCTGCCTCCCAAAGTGCTGGGATTACAGGCGTGAGCCACCACGCCCAGCCTATTTTGCATTTTATCTGGACAACTATATCATCTGCAAATAGAGTGTAATTAAAAATTTTAAGTCCCTACATATGTTAAAAATCTAATCTCACTGCTTTGGGATATTATCATGCTGTCAGATTACTATCTAAGATACCTAGAATAGGTGTCTCACTGAAAAGAAGTGATGATAGTGTTGCATCCTTAGTCCTGATCTTAAAGGGAATACTCTCAATATTTCATTATTAAGCATTATGTTTGCTGGGAGTAGCAGACTTGATAGATTTCATCAAGTTAAGGAATTTAACTTTTCTTTATATTTTTGCTAAGAAGTTCTGTTGTGAATACATGTTGAATTTTATTGAAAACTATTTCTGCCCCTATTCAAAATTTGCTTTTATTTTTTTCTCTTTTGCTTTGGTCCTATATTGAATGATAACCAATGATTTTAAATATTTAACCAATCTTTCATTTATTACATAATTACCAATTGGCCATGAAATGTTATTTTTCCAATATGCTGCCAAGGCCATTTTTTAATATTTTGTTTAGACTTTTTGCATCTATATTTGTAATTGAGTTTGACCTGTAATCTTTCTTTCTTGTGCTATACTTGTCTACTATAGAAATAAGGATAATACTCCATAAAATGAGGTGAGGAGTGTTCTTTTTTCTATTATATAGAAGAATTTGTATAATATGAGGATTATGTGTACCTTGAATATTTGGTTGAATTAGCCTGTTGTATCAGAGTTCAATCAAGGAAGCAAATCATTGAGTACTATGTAATAAAAGTAATTTATTATAGAAATTGAACCTTACATAATTGCAAGAAGAGCTGGGAAAATAAGGTACAGGAAGGGGATTTGGAGGATTAGAACAAAGTCACTGATCGGCACTCCGATGCAATGGGATGCATGGACAGGTTGGAGTTGGCAGGGAAACCCATGAAGTCAAGCACTCCCCACTTCCCAAGTGGAAGGGAGCGTCCAGTGGAGCAGGCAGGAAAGTCTATCTATGGAAGGATGCTGCGTCTGTGTCTGGTGGTGGGCCTGGAATCATCAGTGTGCATCAGAGCCAACAGTCAGGAAAAAGAGATTTAGAAAACACTAAGGAAGGGACAGTGGTGGCAATCCGCAGGCTGACAGCAACCACCACCAGCAAAAATGAGGATGAGCTGGCACCTGTGCATCTGTCTTTTGCTGCATCTAACCACAGTAACCAACTGTATCCCAACGATATGCAGGGATGAAAGTCTGGGAAACAGTTACAGCTTACCTGGTTCACAAAGTAGAAAGCTGCCAGGCATGTAAAGCCTGGTGTTTTCCTTGTTGCTAGCATATGGCCTCTAGCTACAGAAACCCTGTCAAGTTCCAAACAGGAAAGTTTGGAATTCCTGCTTCAGAATGAACCAATGCGGAATAGGGTTTCTCATGTAAAGACTTAAAGAATAAAGAGGAAATAAAAAGTAAAAGAAAACAAAGCAAACCATAAAATCTTGCCTGTCACAGCTACTTAAATTGACTAGATATTTTCTGTTTCTTTCAGCCTTTTGTTGGTTTTGGTTGCATGTGTATGTGTGTTTTTTAAGGATTTATAATTTAGTGCTGCTATTACATTTTCAAAGATCACACAATAATCAGTTATTCTCATGAAAAGAACATCAGTTAGAAATCAAGGCTAATAGTTGGACTGGAATCATATGGTTTCAAAAGAGTACAGTGTATTAAGCCTTTATTAGATGCTAGAAAAGAGGCCAATATGCTCATTTTTTACATAGTAGGTGATATTTAGTCAAACAGAAGCTCAATCAGGCGTTGCGCGCAATGAGACGATGAGAGTTAGGGAGGAAAAGTATTCAGTCTGGAAAAAACACAAATCAAGTTTTTACATGAAAATGCTGTTCTTAAAACTTGAATTTTTAAAGGAAAGAGGACATTACTGATAAAGATGTGAAGTTGCAAGAAGAAGATATCTCTGCAGGGTGCCTTGGTGATTAAAAAACACAAAGTGTGTTTTTTCTTTAATCCGACCAGGAGCTGGTAGATAGCCTAGTCAAGGACTTAGCAGGGTCCCAGTTTCTAAGGTACCAGAGTCATTAAGAAGGAAACAAGGATTTTTCTGGTACAAAGATAATGGTATGTTATGGGTAGCCGTGTTCTCATGTCATTTCTTTTGTCATCATTGAACCCCTAAAAGAAAAAGGTGCTAAAATACAAAAATTTAATCTAAACCCAAAAGTGAGCTTTTGGAGGAAGAAAAAATATTCACACTTAGGTAAAGAAAACCTTGGGGGAAATTATGGTTATTATTTTTCTGAGGCCAGTGACTCAGCAGAAATAGACAAGTCTTCTGATCCTCCAGGATATTGTCAATGAAAGCAAAACCGAATATAGAAAAATCTAAATTAGCTGGGTGAGGTATCATACTGAATAATTAACTAATATCCACAAACCTCAAGTCATCCTCCCATCACCAAATCTTTACCAAAATTCCTATAAAGTATCCATTTGAAAACAGGTACTTCAATTTCTTTTTATTCTGATGTCTGGTATCACCAAAGTACAAGGGGTTGAGAAATGAAAGATAAACAAAGGGACTAGTTAATGCATAAACTGAATGATTCAAAGCCCCCAAAATTTAAAGTTACCATATCAGGTTGTGTTATCTGTAGTAACAATATCTTGGCTGCAAGAAAAATATTTAATTAGAACACCATGTGAAATTTTAATCTACAGAGTTGTAGATTAAAAAATTTTTTTAAAAGTTACAAGGCTGGGCACCATGGCTAATGCCTATAATCTAATACGTTGGGAGGCTGAAAGTCAATCACAATTCATTTTGCAAAATTACCAGCACGACCTTGCTTGAGGCCAGGAGTTCAAGACCAGCCTGGGCAACATTGTGTGATCCCCATGTCTACAAAAAATAAAAATAAAAACCTTAGCCAGGCATGGTGGCCTGTGCCTGTGGTCCTAGTTACTCGGGAGGCTGAGGCAGGAGGATTGCTTGAGCCCAGGAGTTTGAGGCTGCACTGAGCTATGATTGTGCCATTGCACACTCCAGCCTGGATAACAGAGTGAGATCCTATCCTCTCTCCGGAAAAAAAAAAAAAACGAAAAACAGAAACATCAGCAAGCTTGACAAATCATTTTGGTTCAACTCTAGTACTGCCTTAGACTATAATTAACTACTTAATCAGGCATACAATAAAATGTTTATGTTTTTGGTGATTTTATTTAAATAATTAGAAGAAATTCATCGTTGTCTATAATGAAAACAAATCAGGCAATTTACTTACAATCTTGTAACTGAAAATACATACAAATTCTGTGCAATCACACCAAGAGGGAAAATTCTGTAGGGGAAAAGGACAGTAATGACTAAGAAACTCCGAAGCCTCCTGTGTAATATTTTAAAAATAAAATGTTTTCATTCAAATATTTTAAAAAATAAGCCATCTAATTCTGAAGAAATCAGTTTCTAAATTACATTTTTCATTGATTCATCACAACTCATTTTGCAAAATCATCAGCATGGACCACGCCAATGAGGAGTTAAATGCCTACACTGTATCTTAACGGTATTGTAATATTCCAATCATTTCATGAAACTGATATAAATGTTCTGTCCAGATCAAAGAAATTACTTTGTAACTGACCAAACCAGTGTGACTGTCTGCTTTAACCCCTAATTTCTTCTGGGGCTGCAGGAACAACAAAAACAAAAATCTATTTGTATTGACTGCTGAAGACAACACAATTTACAAAGCACTGTTGTCCCAATTTGGGTTTCTAATAAGTTACCTAGTGATTCTCCCAGTACTCTTACTTGGAAATAAGACTGCAGTGAGACTGCTTAAAAGAGCAAACAAAAGCACAACTACGTATCTGTCTCCAGGCATTGAGTAGGTGATTAGTCGTAGAGATTGTGGAACCAAAACCTATAGTTTTGCTCTACTTTTGAAAGAAAAGATACTGTGCATCGACATAGTTCATTCTTCTTGACTTTCCTTTTAATTCCAGTTTTCACTGAGTCAGCTCCATTTGGTGTGGTGGGTCCAGGGCCCTTTGTTGCCATAATGGGTTAGCTGATAGGAGAGAATGGGGCTTCTCGACACCCCCTTCAAGGGTCTGTGTCCCATAGGAGGGCATATGAAAGCTTCGCTCCATTACCTGGGGACAGGAGCCCTTATCACTGGATACTGGAATCCAGCAGCCTTGCTCTGTGCCCATTCCACATAACTGGGGCTCCTGCCTCCATGAAGTTGGTTGCATTGACCCTATATGAAAGACAAAAGAAATTTCAATATTCATATCATTAACAATAGATAGGCAAGACAGACCCTAAACGGTAGTGGTTGAAGAACTGGCCTGAAAATGAGACACAAAGATAACCCATTTTCAAACTACTCTAGACACATTTTTTTCTCTTTTTTTTTTTGATAAGCATCTCACTCTGTCATCCAGGCAGATTGTGCAGTGGCACAGTCACAGCTCACCACAGCCTCTTCCTCCTAGGCTCAGGTGATCCTTCCACCTCAGCCTCCTGAGTAGCTAGGACTACCCGGCTAACTTTTGTATTTTTTATAGAGACAGGGTTGCCATGTTAGCCAGGCTGGTTTTGAACTCCTGGGCTCAAGCGATTCGCCCACCTCAACCTCACAAAGTGCTAGAATTACAGGTATGAGACACCACACCCCACCCTGAGCCCAATTTTTAAAAAATTAAAATAGGCCAGTGCAGGGGCTCATGTTTGTAACTCCAGCACTTTGAGAGGCTGAAGTGGGAGGATGGCTTGCACCCAAGAGTTCAAGACCAGCCTGGGTAACATAGGGAGTCTCCATCTCTACATAAAATAAAAAACTAGCTGGGCATGGTAGTGCATGCCTGTGGTCTCAGCTACTTAGGAGGCTGAGGTGGGAGGATTGCTTGAGCCTGGGGAGGCCAAGACAGCAATGAGCCATGACCAAGCCACTGTACTTTAGCCTGAGTGACAGAGTAGGACCTTGACTTAAAATAATTTTTTAAAAATTAAAATAGTCTTGGTTGGCATCTTAAAATTTTTTTAAAAAAATTACAATAGTCTTGGTTGAGGTGATTTAAAGAACCTGACACATTGCTCTTTAGCTTTTACTGTGTACTTCTGTCTCCCCATCTGGACCACAAATGACTTGAGAGTAGATAGAGCTCAGGTTTTTTGTTTTTTGTTTTTGAGATGGAGTCTCTATCTTTGTTTTGAGATGGAGTCTCACTGGAGTGCAGTGTTGAGATCTCAGCTCACTGCAACCTCCATCTCCCAGGCTCAAGGGATCCTCCTACCTCAGCCTCCTGAGTAGCTGGGACTACAGGTGTGCACCAGCATGCCAGGCTAATTTTTGTACTTTTTGGTAGAGACAGCGTTCCACCATAGAGACAGGCTGGTCTCATTTGGTAGAGACAGGCTGGTCTCAAACTCCTGACCTCAAATGATCTGCCCACCTTGGCCTCCCAAAGTGCTCGGATTACAGGTGTGAGCCACTGTGCCTGGTCTGAATTCAGATTTTAGGTGTATTTCTTTTCTTTTCCCCTGGCATAGTCAGCTGCCCCTAGCATGTACTCTGCACTTAACCTGTGTCAACTGATGTCAGCTGAGCTCAGTGAAGATGGTTTTATGGAACTACACTAGTATTGTGTTGTAATGAGTTTTCCAGGAGCAGAGAAGAGACTGGCTCAGAGCCAAACTTGATCTTTTATTTCATTCCTCACTCAATCTCCCCCCACCCCAATCTCTATGCGCATTTTCACCCCAGGCATTTATGAGACAGCTGGACATGATTGGGGATGTGATCACTCATGCTGGGAGATAGTTATATGAGTGGCCCACAGAGAATGGGTCAAATTGTTTGCAGTACAGTGCGGGGGGAAAAAAACAACAGCAAAAGAGACATTCTAATATATTCCTGAGTACTCAGCTAACTGTAATGAGTCCTTAGTTCTTTTCTAAGTTTAACCAAATTCCTGTAAAATCGTTGTGCTATTAGCTTGCAAAATTACATTATATGTGCCTCTATAGTGGGTTACCATTGTAAGAATTATGCACTTTTAGCTGCTCAAGGAAAAGTAGTAACTACAAATATTCCATTACTTTTTAATAGTGCTACCAATAACAATAAGCACTGAAGCAAATTTTTGAAAATGCTGAATTTTTTCATTATCAGGGGAAAGTAATGATCCATATAAAATACTATACTATTTATTGTAGTTTTCATATTCAATTTTTAAGTGTACCTTAAATATCCAGGCCTTCTTCAAATTAGGTAATAAAGTTGTACTGAATTCAGTATTTGGGGTTTCATGGCAACATAGGTATGAGAAGGGAATTTAGAGTGAGTTTTCCAAAACAAGAAGCCTATGTTCTTTCCAGAAAGAAATCTGAGGAGGAGGTTATGATAATAAGCACATTGAAGAAGGAAAAATATAGAAAATTCAATTGGAGTTGATATTTCATTAGCTCCTTTCATTAGCAGAGGAGCTGTTTTTGTTGGCTAAAAGTTTCTCTAAACCTTTCCAAAGGCTCACGACACAAAGGCCTGTGAAACAATGTCCTCTGGCCTGTGAAACAAAACTCAACCTGAGACCCAAAACCAAAAGGCTGATCATAATACAACTCTTAAGGGTATCTGAGTTCATTTCTATCTGAAGTAGACTGAGTTCCTGAGAACCTGGGTTGATTTTATGGTCTCTCCACAAGTGGCTTGGCTGGACTTCACAGACAGCCAGGCGTCTGGCTAAGGTCATGCCCCTGATAAGACCTGAATACTCTGAAATCCCCAGGACAATCCTCAGATCAACTTAAATTTACAGAAACACTTCCCACTAGATGGGCTGAACATGGAACATGTTTTCTTGGAGCCATTTACAACTTAACTGGGACTATACCTACAGCTACCAGTATAGATCCTGGACCTTAAGAATGACCCCAAAACTCAATTCAAATCAAGGAGTCATCCATTGTGTTCTTGCTCAAAGTGCAAGAACACGGGCTGCCCTGTGACTAGAGTTTTGAGTGAACGTGGTAACCTCATATAAGATAGAACTCCAGTGCAAATCAGGTCCATGGCATTTCAATACAGCCCAGCTATTCACATAGCTTATACAATTTAGTTATTTTGTTTGTGTGTGTGTGTGTGGTTAAATGAGACTTTTCATTGAAAAACAGTCAGGATCTAAGTAAAAATAACCATTCACCAGGAGCCAGGGATAAAAACTGACCATCTGCTGCCTGGCCATCCTCACCAGCCACTGGTTGACCCCCATTCTTGAGGTCTTGGTGTTCTTTTATAACCACAAACTGCAGACAACAAAAAGGAGGGAGAGAGGATATTGTTAAAATTCACAAATTATCTCAACGTACATTGAATCAAAGTCTATGGCTTTACGATGTTCATCCTATGGAAAGTGAAAGTCAGAAGAAAGGCCCTGTGAAGTTAGTCTTTCTATCTAAAGAGAGATTCAACATTCAGTGAGGAGCCTTGTGTTACTTTGTCTTAAAGCAACTAGGCACACCAATATGTTAACTGAAGAATCTATTCTAATTATGGAATCTCAGCTTTTAGGTCACGGATCCCTGGAGCCACTGATTTACCATAAGCAATCCAAGAATCCATAAGTATTCTAAGAACTGCCCATAGGCCAGGCAAATAATATCTAATATATGTGTGTGCTACAACTTTTCATACACACACACGCACACACACATTAATAACACTCATTTAAACATGCTACCAAGTTCTGAGTAATTTGGGGCCATTAAAGGTAGTAATAATTACCAGTGCAATGACAATTTTGCAAGCTGGTTGAACAGCCTAGGGACCTAGAATTTTAATAGGAAGGAACAGAAAACAACATTTCTCTTCAGTCAACAAAATGATTACTTTTGTCATTATTTGTATTATCAAAAATTGATTGGGCACTTGCAATGCAGGCTGACCAGAGTTCACTGGCTCACATTCACTCTAGATAGATTAGATATTAAAACAGATCCATGCTACAAGGAAAGAAAAGAAGTGACCCCATACAACAGGACAAAGGACATCATTTGGTGAAGTCCTTCCTTGTCAATCAGTAACTAGTGCAAGGACTGCCCCAAGGTTTTGGCCGATCACGCTTCATTGGTTCAGAAATGGGCGCTCCACAGAAAGGAGCACACAACTCAGAAACAACAGAAAGAGGAGTAGAAAACAATCTCTTTGCCCATATTTTCCTTTGAGAAAGGTGTAGAAAGGGATGATGACTGGGGTCAATTAGGCAGAAGGCAGGGAAATGTTGGTAAGGGAAGTGTGAATCCACAGAACATGTATTTTCATTTTCTTATAATACAAATCATGCTTCATCTCCTCCTCATTGATGATCTCCTGCAGCAACACACTGCAAAATCAACACGCAACCCACTGTTTAAAGACACATGCCCATTATTTCTGTCTCAAGTCAAAATCCAACCCTCTGCACTGCAAATTTTCTAACCTCGTGCCTCTCTGTCAGAAGAACATAGGTCCCGAAATTCTGGGCTGAGGTGGGGAAAGGAGCTGATAGAACTACATTTGTTTCTGCTCTTTCTTCTAGTTTGAGCGTTCAGCTCTCTCCCACTCCCACTGATATCTACAGCAGCAGTTGCTGTCAACGACAGTTATGACGGCTGTGGGGGACTGAGCTCAGCAGCCCCAGGCCTCCCAACATAGCTCTGAGCCAACAAGTTGCTCATGACAGCAGCAAATGCTTTTGATTTTTTAATAGTCATACACAGATTGTGTTTCTCCTTCATTCCCATGATGATGAATTAATGAGATGAATTAAACCTGCTACTCAAAACCTGAATGAAATACCATGTAGACTGACAAGTGACATCTGGGTAATTTAGAAGTTCGCAAAGTCATGAGGCCTCAAAGAACCAACACATTCTAGAGCTTAGTCCTAGAATCACACACTTGTGGAATTGATAAAGACTGATAAAGACTGAAGGGATCTTAGAGATCATCTAATCCAAACCCCTTGTACTGAGTGGGGAGCAGAAGTCTGCATAGGTTAAAGGAATTGCTCAAGATTAGATAGCCAACTGGTGGGAGAGTAAGGCTAGAACTCATGTTCTTTCTCATGCTTTAGAGAAAAGGTCTCAGTCTGTCACTCAGGCTGGAGTGCAGTGGTGCTATCATAGCTCACTGCAACCTTGAACTCTTGGGTTCAAGTGACCCTCCTGCTTCAGTCTCTTGAGTACCTGAAACTGCAAGTGTGTACCACCACACCCAGCAAAGTTTTTTTTTTTAATCTTTTTAAAGAAATATGATCTTGCTATATTGTCCGGGCTGGTCCCAAGCTCCTGGCCTCAAGCAATCCTGCCTTGGCCTCCCAAAGCATGGGGATTACAGGCATGAGCAAACTTGCCCAGCCTCTATTTTTTTCCCCCATACTTGAGTCCAACCAAAAAATAAATAAATAAATAAGGAAACACTGAATGCCTATTACAGGTAGGAAAAGATGATCACCTGGTAGTCAAAAGCACAGTTACAGGAAAGCTACTTTCTGGGAATTCACTGTGAGATGGGAGCTGGGGAGTAGGGGTAATAATGTGGGAAGGACCCCAAACATTGCCTTTGCTCCTCCATAACCTCTCTGTAATAGCTCTTCCCTAAGGATTCAATCCTCCATGGACCTGCCATGTATTCCAGTCTCTTCCACAATATATACCACAAATAATGCCAACAGCACACACTGAATCAGTCCTTAACTCTGACAGGTTTCTAGAAATGGAAATTCCCTTAACTGATTCAAGAATGTGTAGCCTGTTTCAAGACTGCCCTCTAGTGTTCCAAGATCAATTACTGAAGTGGATGATTTATGAAACATCTTGAATTTCCCAAACCTCTGTGCTTTTCGGAAAATATCTAGGATTGTCAGATAAAATAAAGAACCCAGTTAAATTTAATTTTGAATTTAAATTTGAACTTTCAGTATAAGTATGAATTTAACTAGGCATCCTATATTTTTATTTGTTAAATCTGGCAACTATTTTGCTACTGAAATTTGGGGAGTTGAAATGTGTGTGAGAAAAGAAATATTAAGAAAATAAAAGAAATATTAAGAAATATTAAGAAAATTAAGAAAATTGAGTGCAGTGGCTCATGCCTGCAATTCCAGCACTTTGAGAGGCCCGGGCAGGTGGATTGCTTGAGCCCAAGAGTTTGAGACCAGCCTGGGAAACATGGTGAAACTCTGTCTCTACAAAAAATACAAAAATTAGCTGGGCGTGGCGGTGTGTGCCGGTAGTCCCAGCTATTTGGGAGGCTGAGCTGGGAGGATTGTTTGAGCCCAGGAGTTCGAGGCTGCAGTGAGCAGTGAGTGGTTGGATTACTGCACTCCAGCCTGGGCAACAGAGCAAGATCCTGTCCAAAAAAAAAAAAAAAAAAAAAAAAGACAGAGAAAAAGAAAAAGAAAAGAAAGAAAGAAAGAAAATAAATTAGAAGCACAATCTT
The DNA here is from genome assembly GCF_000001405.40 of Homo sapiens. Lineage (NCBI taxonomy): Eukaryota > Metazoa > Chordata > Mammalia > Primates > Hominidae > Homo > Homo sapiens. The sequence goes on along the minus strand of NC_000004.12, from coordinate 110,004,976 downwards.
GGGTTTTTAAGACATGTATCTGGAATGTATTAACTAAAAATATGGAAAGCCTTCACATAACACATACAAATCTAAGTTATAGAAAGAATCTACATGAAAGAAAAAAATTCCAAAAATTTATTGTGCCATTAAATTATGGCATTATTATAACTCATCTGATTCCTTTAGTTAACAACACAGTTCCCCCACCCTCCCACCCAGGACCTCCCTAGCTGATGTGGTCTTGGCTAACACTGACACCAGCTGGAAGCTATAACTGATTCCAGTCATTCTGAACTCAGTGAAAAAATAGAAAAAATGAATAGGGGTTAATATCAAGCCAATTCCTTGCTTCATCTGCTTTGGTCACATTACCCAAGGTTGAGGGCAAGAGGACATCCCATCCTCAGTGTCAGCAGGCCTGCGACTCCTCACATCTCTGCTCGACTCCTCATAAGGATTCTTTGGGTTTTTCGATAGCAGCTTCTGAGTCCTGTGATAAAGCCAAAATTTGAGACAATCTCACAACAAAACAAAATACTCAGCCCACTCAGTGATGATCAGGGACAACTAACTGCTTTTGCTACTAAAATTTAAGTACTTGTGTGGGAGAGAAGAAATATGAAGATAACTAGGAACATAACTTTAGATGTTTAAGGCAGTCTTTTCTGCAGAACTCAAAATGCTTTCCAGACAGTGTTTCACTCTTTCCAAGGTTCTGTGAGGTAGAGGGTGTGTGTGTGTTTGTGTGTGTGTGTGTGTGTGTGTGTGTGTGTGTGTGTATGTATGCCCATGTATGTTGGGGGGAATAGCCTTGCATTCATTCATTCACAGGTATCTATTGAGTACTAACTATACCCCAGGCACTGTCCTAGTACTGATGATATAGCAATGAAAAAACAACTAATTTTGCAGGGAGGAGTGGGGCAGTCTGTGGAAAAAATATCTCAGCAACTGTGTGAGGCAGACTATGTTAGCTCCATTTACAAGTGAAGCCATTGGGGCTTGGAAATGGCAGTGACTCACCTAAGGCACACAGCTACCAAGGGTAGTGTAAGAAGTCGGTCATGATGACACAAAGCCTAGGCTGCTCTTACTGGCCCACTGCAATCTCTCACTCATAAAGAAATTAGAGGCAAAGACAGAAGGAGTGGATGACCCAAGATAAGAAAATCTCATAGTGGCTAAGCCAGGAAATACACTAGGTATCTTGCTTCCAAATCCAGTTTTTTAGAGTACTGTCTTGTTTGACATTCAACGCTAAGTCTATACACGGCGTCATTCACTAGGGGTGGGGGTGGGGAGATTTAGCATGGAGATGGATCCCCATCCTCAAAGCAGTAGCCCCTAGAGCAGTGCATCTGTGAGACTCCACAATAACGCCACTGTCCTGGGGCAGATAGGCAGCTTAATTGCCTCTAGGAATGCAACCCTCTGTCAAAAGCCCTACCTGGACGTTCCAGGAAGAGTGATAAGGATAGGAGGGGCTGCTGTGAATCTGGCATCACAGACAGTACCAAGAGATGGTGTGGGTTATTATGTGTTTTAATCAAAGGCTTCAAGGAAAAAAATTGAAACAAGTGGCTAATATAAACAATTCCAAAGTTGCAAAGGTACAACGTTATAATTTGTACCAGTCAGAATGGCTATTAATAAAAAGTCAAGAAAAAAAAGATGCTCATGAAATTTTGGAGAAAAGGAAACACTTATACACTGTTGGAGAGAGAGGAAATTATTTCAATCATTATGGAAAGCGGTACGGTGATGCTTCAAAGAGTTAACTGCAGAACTACCATTTGACCCAGCAATTCCATTACTGGGTATATACCCAGAGGAATATAAATCATTCTACCATAAAGACACATGGATGTCAATGATCACAGCAGCACTGTTCGCAATGGCAAAGACACGGAATCAACCTAAATGCCCATCAATGACAGACTGGATAAAGAAAATATGGCACATACACACCATGGAATACTATGCAACCATAAAAAGGAATGAGATCATGTCTTTTGTAGGAACATGGATGGAGCTGGAGGCTATTATTCTTAGCAAACTAACACAGGAACAGAAAACCAAATATCACATATTCTAACTTCTAAGTGGGAGCTAAATGATGGGAACTCAGGAACACAAAGAAAGGAACAACAGACACTGGGGGCTACCTGAGGGTGGAGGGTGGGAGGAGGAACAGGAGCAGAAAACATAACCGTTGGGTACTGGGCTTAATACCTGGGTGATGAAATAATCTGTACAACAAACCCCAGTGACACAAGTTTACCTGTGTAACAAACCTTTACATATACCCCTGAACCTAAAATAAAAGTTAAAAAAAAACCCACAAAAAAACAAAGTTATACTTTGTGATGAAATACTTCCTGTTGATTTTCTTACAAGGGAGTCCTTCCAAGAAATCACATGTTTTAAACTAATAAGATTAGAATACTTGAAAAATTTATTTAGTTTCACAAACATTAGTCTTTTTTGTTTTGTTTTGTTTTTGAGACAGAATCTCGCTTTGTCACCCAGGCTGGAGAGCAGTGGTGCAATCACGGCTTACTGTAATCACTGCCTCCCTGGCTCAAGCGATCCTCCCACCTTAGCCTCCCAAGTAGGTGGTACTATAGCTGTGTGCCACCATGCCTGGGTAATTTTTTGTAATTTTAGTAGAGGCAGGGTTTTGCCATGGTGCCCAGGTTGGTTTGAACTCCTGGGCTCAAGCAATCTGCCTGTCTTGGCCTCCCAAAATGCTGGGATTATAGACACGAGCCACCACACCCAGCACACAAACAATTAATCCTTTGAGAGACACAGAAGACAAACGGTATCAAACAAGCTAGACAAGACAGGCAAGGAATGGTATAAGGGAGGAAATAACTGATTTTAACCCTTTAAAGAAAAACAGTTAGCATGTCTAACTTAAAAACTCAATGTTAGAGCTGTATTTGTTGGTACAGTTGAGTATGACATGGCAACATTTAGACTAGCAGTTTTAATTTGATCTTGTCAGAATTGATCTATAGTGCAAACGTAGTTATGCACATAGCTGAAACTTTGCGGAGAGGTAAGCAGGTACACTGATCAGAATTGTTAGGTAAATAACCATAGATTCACTCAGGAAGAATTGTACAACTCTGGATGCATTTCAGTGAAGAGAAAAAGAAAGGGTTCTGATGAGCTTTCTTTTTGAAGGAATAGTCCTTTCACTTCTGATTTTTGGAGTATGAGAGTCTGAGGTTGAAGATACTCTTATATGTATGTAAAGTCTATAGTCATCTTTCAGCTGAGCTGGTCTTTGAATTCCAAGTTTAAAAAGCCAGCAATTTGCCGTTAGCTTTCAATCCAGATCTCTGAAAAATGCCAACAGAACATAAGACATACTATATCATAACACAACAAATAGGAAAAAACACTTAATAATTATGGCACGCATGAACTTAAGTTTCTAGTTTCCATTTTTTTTTCCTGCCCTTTGGCAATGATCCAATGGGATGAACCATTGATCATTCAATATTCTTTCTACACATATCCAAGATATTGATTACACACCAGGCTAAAAATTACAATGTTATTGATGGACTACTGAATTAAAATGTCAAGTTTGTGCCTAAGAATCTTGTCTCTCAAGAGGTGGTAGAAAAGGGCTTAGAGCATATGACTCTTTTGGGGGAAGGTTACAGTTCATAAAAAATCAAAATAACAGATAGCATTTATTAATTCCTATATGCCAGACTTACACTAAAGCCTTTACTTAGGTTAACCCAATTAATCTCACAATAACCCTTGAGATAAGTACTATTCTTGTTCCTACTTTATAGTAAAGGAAATTAATGAATACAGAGGTTAGGACACATGTCTGGTGTTATTTAGACACTAACTTGGATTTGAACCTGTATAATCTGATTCCAGAGCCTGTGCTCTTAACCACTACACTAGGCTATAGCAGGATCTCTGATAAGTACATCTTGGCTGATATGTTGAATTTTCCAGAACACAAGACAGTTGCCACTTGAGTGGTTGTGTAGTACCCATAAATGTGGTTAAATTTTTATCTACAGATGGTGGCAGATATTTTGTACATCTCAGAGAATTGGGACCTATTAGTCAAGTGGGTCTTAGGTCCTCCAGCCATGAAATGATAAGATTGAACTAGATAATTCCATAAAGTCCCCTTCAGCCCTAAAGTTTTATGACTCACTGATTTTGTACAACACAAACTATAACCGTACATAAAATGCTTTTCAATATTGATGATAATAGAGGAAGCTGTCCTACTTTCTAAGAAAACAGAAAATGAGCAGTGTGATGCCTGTGCCTGCACCCTAATGTAGTGTTAGTTTTAAAGAATTAAATGTATAAATGTTATTGTCTACAGTTTTTAATTGTTAACTTGAAATTATTAAAAGCACAAAATCTGAGGACCAGAAATTTCCTTCCAAATTAGGGAAGATATTGATTTTCTTTTATGACAGTTAATATTTTGTGGAAAATCAACTCAATGGAAGGCAGCAATGAAAAATTATAGTTATGCAGGCTATGGGGGGAGCATATAATATTAAACAAAGAGAGTGGAACGCAAAACCATATTGTGATTGATAAATAACACATATACTATGAAGGTGTATGGACAATGACTGGAATGGAACAAGGAAAACGTAAAAGCACTGATGTTTCAGAGCAATGAAATCCTGAGCTAACAGTAAAAATTGTACTGTTATTTCACCTTTTTTTTTTTTTTTTTTTTGACACGGAGTCTCGCTCTATCGCCCATGCTGGAGTGGAGTGGCATGATCTTGGCTCACTGCAACCCCTGCCTCCCAAGTTCAAGTAATTCTCATGCCTCAGCCTCCCGAGTAGCTGAGATTACTGGTGTGCATCACTACGCCTGTTACTTTTTGCCTTTTTAGTGGAGACGGGGTTTCACCATGTTGGCCAGGCTGGTCTCGAACTTCTGACCTCAAGTGATCTGCCTGCCTCGGCCTCCCAAAGTGCTGGGATTGCAGGCATGGGTCACTGCACCCAGCCTATTTCACGTTTTAAATGTAGTATGTAGAGGTACTATTTCATACATCTCATCTCAAGGAGACAGGCATTCCCCTGGGAGGTCTTAGAAAGAGGTTTCCAGTACCAAAGGAAAGACAGGGTCACCTGTAGTAGTGGGCCCCCCACAGGCTCAGGAGGAGCAGCATGACAAGCACCACCACGCAGACAGCCACCACGATGACCTTCTGCTGCTGCCCGTGGCCAGCGTGGCGCAGTTCCCACCACTTCAGGTCTCGGTACTGACATCGCTCCCCGATGTAGCCAACAACACAGCTGTGACAACACACAAACAGAGGTCATCAGAGATGCCTGGCCAAAAACGCTGATAGTTTTGACACTCAGTATTCAGCTGTCTCTCAACCTCTGCATTTCCAGACTCAGCTCTTTAGAAACATATAGAAAATCCATCAGGGGTCAGTTGAAAGCGCTATGATTTACAAGTTAATGCAGCATGGACTTCTCCCTTTCGTCTGTTTGCTCTGGGATTTATGGGGGATTATTTGCATACTGCCTCTATAAGGCATTACAGGACATTGATTAAAGATCAGTTTCTGTTAGGCTAAAATCCTGAGGAGCCACCTTTTAAAACCAACACAAAGCAACTCTGCCCTAAGAGCCAAGGGAGTTTTGGAAACAAATGTTTGGCCAGATTGCAATGAGTATAGGTGAAAGGAAAGGAGAATTTGAAGGCAGAGTTCCTCACTTGAAACCAGGCTATAAAAGAAGAATGTGTACAGTTTCTAAACAGAACACATAACCTAGTCTGCAGAGAAAACTTTTTTCCTTTAAAAAAAAAAATCACTACTAGTGCAAGGGAAGACCCAGTACAACATACATACAGGCATTTGCCTATTTTCTTCAATGAGAGAAAAAGCTATATGGAGGAAAAAGGGACGTTCACCTACAAACACCCTGCTGTCCCATTAGTGAAACTGTCACTAGAGTGAACTGCTGAACTTTTTTGAAGTAAATGAAGCAATGCTGCCATCTACTGGGAATGTGCATTTCTAGAAACAATTAAGATCTCAGGTAAACATCTGTATTCTATTATCCTTTGCAAAAGCATCAACTTTGAAAAACATCCTATTAAACACTCTGTAATGCCCACTTATTAAAAATTCCTCCCTTTGGTCCCTGGATCAACTATTTATTCATCCATGTCCCCACTTTATTCCAAAAGGACTTAACGGAATAAAAATACAGAGAACTGACACCAGTGCCCATAGTGAGAAGAGGCAGCATGGAAAAAACACTGGACAAAGCTCCAGAAGATCTGGGCTCTAGGCCTGTCTCTACCTTTAGCTGGTCAGAGGGACTGGGCAACTCACTCACAGAGGAAGGAGGGAAATGGATTAGTACTTGTTAACCATCTTGTGTGTTTGACATCCTGCTAGGCACTTTTACTTATTTTATTTTTGGTGGCATATTCCTGTATTATGGATAAGGAAACTGAGGCTCAAGGAGTTTGTACAACGTCACACAGCTATGAGTGACAGGTTTGACTCCAATGGTTCTCTGATTTCAAAGCCTATGTTCTTTCCACTATACCATGCTGCTTCCAAAAAGAGTTTTATGCTCTATTCACCTCTGAAAAGCTATCTTCTGGAACTAACCATGCAAGAGATATCAGGATCTGAGTGCAAAAGCATAAAGGACCATCATTCTTGCAGGCTTTCTTGGATGCTGTTTTAATTCTAGCTATCTTTGGTTACAGCCATTTACTATCAATGCCTAGCAGCACCACTTTTAAACTGTTGGATGTTAATGGGCCACACCTCTGATCCTTTCAGAAAGTCTGGGGTCTTGAGGAATATGTCAGTCCCTTAGCCAAGAGTCCTGGAGATCCAAGTCAGCTGCAATAGTAGAGCCTCACTGAGTCTTATAAGGCCCAGAATAGTCATTCAGCATTTTCCAGGGTGGGAGGAGGACACAGGATACTAGTTCTTTGGTTATGAATTAGTTCTTCTGTTAAACCAAACAAAAGATTCTGTGGCCAAATAAGTTTGCCTTTCCATAGCCAAATAATTTTGAGACATTCTAGACTCAATACAGATAAACAAGGCTTATTTTATTTTATTTTATTTTTTTATGGACAGGGTCTCACTCTGTCTCCCAGGCTGGAGTGCAGTGGTGCCATCACAACTCATTGCAATCTCAGCTTCCTGGGCTCAAGCGATTCTCCCACCTCAGCCTCCCAAGTAGCTGGAAATACAGATGTGTACCACCATACCTGGCTAACTTTGGGAGGCCCAGGCGGGCGGATCACGAGGTCAGGAGATGGAGACCATCCTGGCTAACACGGTGAAACCCCATCTCTACTAAAAATATAAAAAATGGTGGCAGGTGCCTGTAGTCCCAGCTAGTCTGGAGGCTGAGGCAGGAGAATGGCGTGAATCCGGGAGGCGGAGCTTGCAGTGAGCTGAGATTGCGCCACTGCACTCCAGCCTGGGCGACAGAGCGAGACTCCATCACAAAAAAAAAGAAAAAAAAAATTTGGTAGAGATGGAGTCTCACCATGTTACCCGGGCTGGTAAACAAGACTTTTTAATGTGTTGTGGTATATACTATGAATCAAGAATTGAGGGCTAGACAGAAGATTAGAAATTATGGTTTGGGAGTTACGCAGCTGGAGGCTACAAGATTCTGAACCTCCCTATACTGCTCCTAAGATCAATGCTTGAGATATTCTGTAGACCCTGCACTTGATGGATCAGCTGACACCACCCGGATCAATTAACTGGCTCATCTGAAGTTATGGCCCCCACCCAGGAACTGACTCAGCGCAAGAAGACAGCTTCAACTCTCTGTGATTTCATCCCTGACCCATCAGCACTCCTGGCTCACTGGCTTCCCCTAACCCACCAAGCTGTCCTTAAAAACTCTGCTCCCCGAATGCTCAGGGAAACCAATTTGAGTAATAATAAGACGATGGTCTCCTGAAAAAAAAAAATTGAGGGTAGAGTATGATGCATCTCTCAACGTGATTTGACCATACAGCCTGTTTTTAAAAAGCATTTCACAGGACTGATGTTGGGGGGTCTTGGTCTAAAGAAGACCTGTTCAGAAGGGTGTTTGGCTGAAAGACAGAATGAACGAGGACCTCCTCTGAGCCCAGAAGGTTTGGAGCCTCCTGAGCATCTCCAAACCAGGAAATCTTCGAGGAATACCTTGGGCATGGAGACTCCCAACTCTCACTTCCTCTGCATCACCCCGGGGGCACCCTGTGGTTTCTTGTGGCTGAGGGGAACTTCCAGTTCCTCTAAGAAAGGAAGAAAGAGCTGGCTCTTCCAAAACCTGCTTACAGCATGAAGAGCACTCTGTACAGAATGACACCTGCCTAGGAAGTGTTTCTAATAAAAGTTGGATGGGTAAAGCACTTCCTAGAGACTTGTTATTAAGGAATTAATAAAAGATAAGGTGAGGTCATCAGGGCAGGAGGAGGCAAGGGTTGAATAGTTAATTAAACCACATTTTTATTAAATATACAATTTAAAAACAAGGTTATGATCCAGATTACTGTGAACTCTGGTAATATTTTAAATATTGCTTTAGGTTCAAGGTCCTTCAATTTGAGTCTTATCTCCAGTTTGTCATTTGTAGCAACTCATGTTTAAAACATTATCAGAGAAATATGATATTTTCATCAGGATTTAATGACAGAAAGAAAAGCAGTGTGTTAAAGAGTTCATCAATCATTTAATAAATGGATGTTATCAGATCCAAATGAAAACATTGTTCTAAATGCAGTATGTAACCCTGTAGTACCCTTTATATTATTATAATGATTTTTATAGTCTAAAGTATCATGGAGGAAAACAACCATGACCTAATACATTCGGACATTTATTTTTGTAATTTCATTATTTGGGATGATCAGAAACAATGAACAGGCAAAACCAATTAGATTCTTAACATTAAAACTAGCAATAACTATTGCAAATACCCAATTTATCATAGGTTAGGAAATTATAGCATGTAAATATGAATATGAAAACAGAATTCTATAAGGACTGAGTCATTTTTACTAGTATTCATGAGCAATTTTTCACTATTTTTGTCATGCGGACATGATTTCTAGTGCAAGGCCATACACTTTGTCACAGAATATAGCTTACTCTTCCACAAATTTAGTTATTCTGTTCATTATTACTGATGAAATAAGAGAAGACTTTAAGGTTATAGTAGCTATTTGTGAGGATCAGACTATTTCATCACCCCTCCCTCAGGCACAGAGAAAATTATCAATGGATCAGGAGCCTGACCCTGGGAGACGTATTAGTTTTTTGGTATCTATCAGTTTCCTCCTATTGCCTTGAAAATATGAAATGAATTAAAAGTAAAATTTGAGGCAGAACTGGCTATTGTGGGTTTGGGTTTTGTTAAAGGGTCCACAGGAAAGGTTTTCGGAGTGAGCACAGTGGGAATGTCTCATAGTTTTAGGGCTTCCTCAAATCTCCTTTCCAGGTTGACACGTTACCCACTGTGAAACCCTTATGGGGGCAAAAAGGGAGCAAAAAGCAGCAGCTGCAGTATCAGCAATTGTTACTGAACAACAAAATGTAAAAGTCAACTGTTAGGAAGTGAAGAAAAAATATACATATGATTAGTTTTGAAGAAAAATATTTTTGGACTCTGGCAAGAAGTCCAGTGTGAATATGTACCAAACTTTTGTAAATCCAGAAACAGATCACGGATGCTCACACATAATATAAAGCACATTTGATGGAAAAAAAAAGTTTTAAGGAATTATCTCACAAACCTAAGTTTTTCAACCAGGATGAGACATTTAATCCCTAGACTATACTAGTAGTAACATCAAATTATTTCAGTAAAAGGGGAAATCACCAACTCCTTAGATTTATACTTATCACCGGTAACTAGAAGGGGGCATCGTGATACACAAGGAGCATGCAATGAAGTGCACACACGTGGTTCATATGTGTATGTTTATATTTTTCCAAAAGAACACCTAATTGCAGAAAAACATCCTGAGTGTAAATTTTACAAATTAGCTACAAGTTATGGACTGAATAGCATCTCTCTGTGCCATCAGCAAGACAGTTTAACTTACTTGCATGCATACTTGTCCAATGCTTCAATATACATGCACACACCATCATGGAGGCAGTACCCATCGTGGGACAGGGGACATTCAGAGTCACTATTTCTTACGGAATAGTGGTGGTCATCTTCCCTGAGGTGAGGGGGTGGAGTAGAGTCTAAAAGAACCCAAGACATTACTTTTACTTTCTGAATGGATTAGTGTCTTTCAAGTATCAATATGAGGAACTAGTTTCTGTGAATAGTTTGTGACATAAATCTTTTAGTGACAGAAGAACTACTAGAAGGGACAATAGTTTCACTTTCCTAGCTAGACCTTAGTCATTCACTATGAAACCAGCCGTTCTTCCTTTGGGCTCAGTATTATCTGATACATAAAGCATATTGGAGGCAGGTAAAAGAACACCCAGTCCTAAGTCGCCATGTGAATTCAGAGTCACTGATCTCATAAAAACAAACCTGTCACACACAAACATACACTAACCATGTGAAGTGACAGTTAGCTTCAAGGTCTCACTGAACAACTGGTAACTCTATGGTTTAAAACCTACCCATCAATGTGCAGTCCGTTACCTCCAATATCCTGGAGTCTCGAAAATTTTTTCTCACAGTGCTTTCTTCTAAAAACTAACCTTCAGAGGAGCCCTCAAGGACAAGACTGTAGCAACTCTGGCAGGAAGAAAATGTTCCCGTAACAGAGGGCATGCCAAAATATAATAGTAAAGTCTCTTTTATTGAATGGTTCACTGCTCCTTAAAAGGTAAACATGTGCAGCTGACTACATAAATATAAGCAGTTTTTCAGTACCTTTAAGAAGAGCAAATTATTTGAGAAAAATAATATGCTAAAAAAAAAAAAACAGAGACCAAGTAAGCACAGAATTTTTCTTCTTAGGATGTTTTCTGCTTATAGGGCTGACAGGCAAAAAGTGGGCAGTGATGGGAAAGACCCCCATCCTGGTCTCCAGGGTCTAGGTGAAGCCAGCTCCCCTTCTGGGGTGCTGATGGTGAGATGTTACTGCTGTTATGGGAAGAAGATTCAGGAAGCAGGAGTCAACCATTATGAATATTGAGAAAAGAAAGAGAAGAGAGCTGGAGTTCTAATTCAGAACAAGAAATACTGCCTTTTTAAAGTAATATTTTAAAATCCTTGAAAGTGATTTAAAATGCTGAGTCCAGACATTCTCACCGACCTGCCTAGCCCTGCAAAACTTATCCAGCAGCCCCACAAATTGACATTACAAATAGTGAGATTAGTTGCACAGTTGAAGAGAGATACCCATGTTCCCATCTTTATTGGATTGTGAGTAATAAAAAAGGATTTATTCCAGATGCTATTAAATTAAGAAAACTTGGACCATTTCAAATTCTCAAGCCCAGCATCGTCCTAATCAGGAAAGCCAGCTCTGCAGCCTGCCTGAACTGAATGATTTTTAGAATCTCTAATGCAAATAGAGATTAGGGTATAGAATATCCCCGAGCCAAGTCCCTCCCCTTCACTGTAGACCACCCACCAACCTACCAGGGCAAATCAGTCCTGGTTCAGACAGGCGTCCAGCACACATGCAGGTATAGCCTCCCTCTGTATTTGTGCAGCTGGCATTCTCTCCACAGCTGTGCTCCCCCAGTTGGCACTCATCAATATCTGTCAGAAAAGACAGAGTACGGGAGAGAAAAGTGGGGTACAGAAAAAGAGGGTTTTATAGTTGGACAGCCTTTGGAAGAGGAGCTTCATCAGCTTCTGTCATGCTATATGTTCTCAGAGACCTATATATTTTTTTAATATATATTTTTTATTATACTTAAAGTTCTAGGGTTCACATGCACAAGGTGCAGGTTTGTTACATATGTATACATGTGCCATGTTGGTGTGCTGCACCCATTAACTCGTCATTTATTTTAGGTGTATCTCCTAATGCTATCCCTCCCCCCTCCCCCCACCCCACAACAGGCCCCTGTGTGTGATGTTCCCCACCCTGTGTCCAAGTGTTCTCATTGTTCAATTCCCACCTATGAGTAAGAACATGCAGTGTTTGGTTTTTTGTCCTTGTGATAGTTTGCTGAGAATGATGGCTTCCAGCTTCATCCATGTCCCTACAAAGGACATGAACTCATCATTTTTTATGGTTGCATAGTATTCCATGGTGTATATGTGCCACATTTTCTTAATCCAGTCTATCATTGTTGGACATTTGGGTTGGTTCCAAGTCTTTGCTATTGTGAATAGTGCTGCAATAAACATACGTGTGCATGTGTCTTTATAGAAGCATGATTTATATTCCTTTGGGTATATACCCAGTAATGGGATGGCTGGGTCAAATGGTATTTCTAGTTCTAGATCCCTGAAGGAATCACCACACTATCTTCCACAGGGGTTGAACTAGTTTACAGTCCCACCAACAGTGTAAAAGTGTTCCTATTTGTCCATATCCTCTCCAGCACCTGTTGTTTCCTGACTTTAAAAATATGGAACGCTTCACGAATTTGCATGTCCTCCTTGCGCAGGGGCCATGCTAATCTTCTCTGTATCATTCCAATTTTAGTATATGTGCTGCCAAAGCGAGCACAGCCCTATACATTTTTAGGTTTAAGGGGACTTTCATGAATGTTGGAGAGATGAACTAGGTCCTACAACGCATGCCCATGCACGTGTTGTTTTCCTTTTTTGTTTCCGTTCTTTCTCTCTCTGTCTTTTTTTTTTTTTTTTTTTTTTTTTTTTTTAAAGAATCTTGCTTGGTTGCTAAGGATGAGGTACAGTGGTGTGATCATGGCTCATTGTAGCCTTGACCTCCTAGGGTCAAGCAATTCTTCCAGCTCAACCCACCAAGTAGCTTGGACCACAGGCTTGCATCACTATGATTGGTTAGTTCTTGTTTGCTTGTTTGTTTTTAATTTTTTTTTTGTGGAGAACAGTGTTTCGCTATGTTGCCCAGGCTGTCTCAAACTCCTGGCCTCAAGTGATCCTCCTGCCTTGGCCTCCCAGAGTGTTGGGATTACAGGCATGAGCCACCACACCCAGCCCCATGCAGGTGTTCTAAGCTCCTGAGAGAGGCTGGAAGCTTTCTTCCTGCTTTGAAGGAAAGGAGACTTCCCAAAGTTGGAGATTAATAAACAACCTCTAGGCAAACATTTAAAAGTTCAGATCCTAAAGATTCATACTTAACTCTTTTGTATAGACATCCTGTCATTGACATACATATTATATCAAATACAACAGTTTTGCTTTTTATATAAGAATAAACTATATCAGAAAAGTCATCCTTTCTTTCCCAACTACCCACCATTTTTTCTTTCTCAGCTACTGCCACCCTAACATTTAGGGCCTCTCTTCCTCTCAATTTTACATTACTGCAAGAACAGCCTTACTCATTCCTGGATCCCATGTTTCCTCCGCGCCATGCCTAAACACCAGTGCCACATTATTCTCCCTCCAGCACAACGATGATAAACCCATCATTGCACCACTTTACTCAAATGCTGCCAGTGGCTCCCTGTTGCCTAGAACTTTGCTGTCCAACTTCCTAGCCTTCGCCATTTGAGAGTATTGAGTACCTGAAATGCATCTAGTTCATATTAAGAAGTGCTGTGAGTATAAAACACACATTAGAGTTTGAAGACTTAGTACCAAAATAAAAAAGAATATTAAATATCTCAATAATTTTTACACTGATATTAAAATGTTAATATTTTGGATATATTTGAATACATAAAATATTATTGCTAAAATTCATTTCACCTGTTTCATTTTACAGTTGTAATGTGGTTAGTAGAAACTTTGGGACAACACTGACTGTCTGACCCTCAGCCAGTTTCACTGGAGAAGTGAAACCTCAGTGACTAACCCTCAGATTTTAGTCTTCCGCAGAGGTAACCCAACCCATCTGTTACAGGCTGAAATGTGTCCCTGCCCCTCCAATTCATATGTTGAGCCCTAACTCCCAAAGTGACTGTATTTGAAGAAAGCATCTACCAAGAGGAAAGTAAGGTTACATGGGGTCATAAGGGTGGGGTCCTAATCCAATAGCATCGGTGTCCTTAAAAGAAGAGGAAGAAGAAAACAAAAGAGGAAGAGAAACTAGAGCGTTCTCTTGCTCTCTGTCTCCCTTTCTCTCTCTCTCCACATCAAAGAGGGAAGGCCATATGAGAACACAGTGAGCAGGTGGCCATCTGCAAGCCAGGAAGAGATCCTTCACCCAAAACCAAATCAGCCAGCACCTTGATCTAGGACTTCGAGCCTCCAGAACCATGAGAGGATATATTTCTGTTGCTTAGGCCATCCAGTCTAGGATATTTTGTTATGGCATACACTACCTTATCAGCCTTAGTTTCTGTTCTTCCCCTCATATAACCTAAACTTAGTGCTCAACTAGGCTACTCTCTACCCTTAATGGCAGTCATGTGATCTGTTCATGCCTGGACTCCTCCCATCCCTTCACATTTCTGCAAATGAAATTACTTATCCCCCATGCTCCTTCCAAAATGACACTTCCTCCCTGAAATCTTTCCCAATACCTCAAACAAATATTTCTCCCAGTTCTGAACTTTCATTGTGGTTTTTACTTCTCTTATGATGTGCACTCTTCTTCATCACTGATCACAGTTATATTTCTTTTAGGTCACGTTTTCCTTGCAATCAAAGACTACCTTCCTCATCCTGATATTTCTCAGGGTTTCCAGTACTGTGGCCTTATTCTTAATAGGGGCCAATTAAATATTTAACACATTGAATTGCTATCCCAGATGGCCCAAACTGACTCTTTTATGAGTTCCTGATATAATTTCAATAAACTATCACCTTGAGAGAAAGAGAGAGCTTTTCCAAAGCAAAGACAAAGAAGTATGCTTGACCAAGAAACTCAACTACTCTTAATAATAATAAGGATAAAATTTTACATAGCACTTTTTATGTGCCAGACAAGGTTCGAAGTATTATAACTACATATATATATGGGGCGGGGAGAGAGAGTAAGAGTGAGCTGGGGGAGAGAGAATAGAGGAGCAAGCCCACTGCTTTCATGGAGTTTGAGGACTCCGTGCCAACCATGCAGGCAGGGTGAGCACACCCCATTGCGTGCTCGATACTGGAAGGAGATGAGTTAGTAACAGTGTGAGAAACCAGAGCCTAACGAGTTTAAACATCCAAGAAGAGATACCTTCCTTTCTCTTCAAAGGAAATTAAATATGAAATCAGCTTGTCTAAATTATCTATGGGCCTGCTTAATTAGAGCAGTGACATTTTCCTGACTGACAGCCAAATATGTGCTTAAAAGAGTGTTTACAGATGTCTGTGGATTCCACAAAACTAATCCAATAAAGGTCTGATTTAAATCAACCAGATTCAAAAGATTGATAGTTATGATTGATATTTCATCTTTAACCTTAGCAAGTGGGAGAAAGCAGTATCATTTGAGCTTCTTATCAGTTTCTTAGGTTTTCAGAAGGAGGGAAAGAAAATACTGAAAGAGAAGTTTTAAAGCGCTGTAAAACTTCAGATAATCACTTCACCGTGCCTCAGACGGCTTCAGGCAGGTTTTCACTTGTACGTGATGCGATGCTACTGACACCTGGAAACGTATGAGACATCCACGACGCGAACTCCCAATCCAACGTGCCACACCCAGACCTTGCCAGAGGACGGGGATTACGAAAGAGGGTTGAATCATTCTTTACTTGTATTTCAACGTCAGTGGCTTGACTCTCCCACCTATTGAACTTATCAAGAAATGTGAGAGGAGCCCTTTGACAAGCCACACCTCCTTTTCTTTATACACACAGCAGTGACTTCCAACAAACTGTCATCAGCTCTGCAGTTCACCACATTTCTCTTACCAAATTCACTGACAAGTAAATGCTGTCCAACTCCCCCCATGATGGCTCAAGGTGGGAAGTATTGATGAGACACTGGTGTCACTCAAACCCCAGAAAGAATTAGAAAGGCAGAGGAGTAAACAGCCTCCAAAGGGGCTTGAAGCTGACTAGGGCAGTAATAACACAAGGGCACAAACTTGACTGTTCACCAAGAATGGAAATACGTCAGTTTGAGCAGGTCGCACAACTCTTTAAATCTTGACATGTGTGTCACCCCAATTATATCCTGTCTTCCCTCTGCTCATGCACCCACATTGTTTCCCGATTTCTGAGGCCTGCCTCTGCCCTCCTCCCCAGCACATGTGTCCTCTTACCAAGACAGTGAATCCCATCTCCTTGGTAGCCTTCTGAGCACCGGCAGACATAACCACCTTCGGTGTTGATGCACTTGGAGGAGGCAGGGGGGCACACTGGGACACCCATCTCACATTCATCTATATCTGTGGGCAAAATTATGAACTAGTGCAATATTTAGGCAATCCTGATATAAATGGGACTAGTTGGAAAGAATAAGCATAATCGTATATTCAATTCTTATTCAGTCCTTTACAGGTGCTGTTGCCAACATCAGGCACGCCCTGCATCTTGGACATAAAGTTCACAAGTTACTGCTGAATTAGTCTTTACAGAGTTCCCACCTATCCGATTAGGCAAATATGTAAATAAATCACTTTCTGCCAGAGTTTCAGACCATAAGGACTGAGATCTTTCCAGCAATCGTTAAATTATAATTTTGAGGCTATTAATATAAAATAGGAACCCATCCATTAATCTATTCATTTGACTAAAACTTATGACCTAAGCTTCTGGGGTAAAAAAAAAAAAAAAAAAGTTGTGTTTTCATTGGAATTGGTGAAGTCATAAACTTGACTTGAACTCAAATTCATGCTTCTAAAGCTAATTATAAATTCTTCCCCTTAATGACAACTGCATATATTGTGTAACCATAAATTTTACTATAAACTCAATGTATTTGTGTAAATATATTTATATGTCTCATTTTCTATGCATGTCATTCAATTTTTTTTTTTAGCTAACATCAAATAACTTATTCAAATCTGCTGATTACATAAATCCTTCTGGAGTTTTTGAGTCAGAAAGAGCAGAAAAAATGTTTCTGGTTCAGTATTGTCCAAATATGTGAATTTGCCCTTTTCTCTTACCAGAACATAGTTTTCCATCCCCAGCAAATCCTTTCAAACACTGACATGTGGCATCCTCTCCCTCTGAAATACACCGAGCATACATGCTGCATCCCACAGGAGCACAGTCATCTTGATCTACAAATAGCAAGAATCCCGTGCAGTTATTTCTAGACCTTAGAGAAGAAAACGGACTTTAATCTTCTGGTTCTACAGAACAGTCCACCACTTCCTTTCCCAAGTTCTGGGACAGGTTAACCTCCAAATAGAAACGCTTAGTTGACCTATAAACTATACTGCATTAAAAGATCCATAGCTGGCTGGGTGCAGTGGTTCATGCTTGTAATCCCAGCACTTTGGGAAGCTGAGGATGGATTACTTGAGCCCAGGAGTTCGAGACCAGCCTGGGCAACATGGTGAAACTCTGTCTCTACTGAAAACTGGTGTATAGTCCCAGCTACTTGGGGGGCTGAGGTAGGAGAATCAGGAGGTTGATGCGGCCGTGAGACAAGATGGTGCCACTGCACTCCAGCCTGGGTGACAAAGTGAGACACTGTCAAAAAAAGAAAAAAAAAGAGATGCATAGTCCCAAAGTCCCATAGCCATGTTTCTGTTTATGTGCCCTCAAAGAACTTTAGTTTTAAAGCACTATCTGGTGTGTTCAAGGAACCCTATATGAACTTATTTATAATTTTTAAAAGCATTTGCAAATGTAAATTATAAAATTGCTAGAAGCAAATAGACTCAAATTTGAAAGGTCTGTTGCTTGTTTTGAAACTTCCCAACCATTTTGACAACAAAAGGAGTCAATCTATTCTTATCCCCCAAAGACACACAGACTAATATTTAGCAAGTAGATCTGTGCACCAACATGGCAAAGAAATTCAATTATAAAAAGATTTACTGACAATTTACTAATATCATATATAATAGAATATGTATGTCACAATGTGTGTTTATTATCAAGATTTATGTAGTGACTTGCACACCTCAAGGCACTTTTACAAAATCATGAACCATACAAGTTAAGTGCAGTAAATGGATCATTTCATTTCATACTCCATTGAAATCCAAGTGCCCTGGGGAACAGAGTTATATGTTGAGCCATAAACATGAGCAGGTTTTTTTTTTTTCTCTTTACTTATGTATGTAATCATTCTCCAAATGCCACTCTGCCCTACCTTTTTGGAGTTGGGGGAATCTGACATACCACAGTAGGATATAATTTATCATCTGTCTATTCACTGGTAAGCTTGCTCATCTTAGTACAGAAGAGATTTTTTAAAAAGCCCTCCAAACTTGCCGATAAATTAAAGAAAGTTAAATGATCTAAGTAGGATTCAGGTGGCATGTGAATGCAGACATTGGGTAATTGCATTTGATTTGCTTAGCTACTTGAGCGAGAAGATTTCTCTTGTGGGAGCAGATGCCTTTCATGCTTGCTTGGTTATCTCCTGTCACTCATGACTCTTAGAGATGGATAAGATCAGACCAAATCAATTATCCATTTAATTCAGCATTTATTTGGAAGACTAGCTCCCAAATCACAAGGCTGCTCAGAGTGTAGAGTGGACAGTATCCGATTACCCAAGATGTTTTAAATCACTTGCAGAATTATCTTAAATTAGAATATGATTCAGGATTTACTTGGTAACATGCAAACCCAAGGCAGCTGTGCGTAATGAAAAGCAATAGTTATGCAGTTGTAGGAGGGACAGGCTACAGCCAAAGTTGTTGTTGTTGTTTCTGCCACAAAGAAGCTCTGGAAGAAATAAATGCCTGTGTTCACATTCCTCTTCTCTAAAACAGCAGTGACAATTTCTGCCAGGTCTATTTTTCATGATGGTTCTAAGGACTAGAATAAAAAGTGACCTTAAAAAAAACCCCTTTGATCAAGATATTTAGTCAAATATTTGATCAAACTCTCTTTGATACATATTTAAATAAGGATGACAAAGAAAGATATTGTGATAATTTAAATAAGAATTAACCTTATCACACTAGAAGAGACCCAAGGTCCTGTTAGTGAAACTAATATAATTCATTTGAAAGTACCTACTACATATTAGGCCTTCCTGAGAGGCAAAAATACAGTGGTGAAGAATAGGGCTCTGCTATTGACAAAGGCTCTGCTGTTTTGCATAATTAGTTATTGAAGTACAGTGTGATGAATGTGATCAAGGGGCAGAAGTGAGGTTCTAAGAGAGCTGTAATAGGCAGCCCTAGCCCGGTCAGGAACTAGGAAAGGCTTTCTGAGCCAGAGGGCGAAGGACACACAGGACGTTGAAGGGCTAAGAAACACACCATGGGCTGAAAAAACAACTAGCACACATGTCCATGTCTGTTAGAAACAAGGCCAGGATGAGGGAAGCAGGCCACAGAAAGCCGAAGGCAAGAGGGCTGGTGAGCCCTTGTTGAGGCTGGGGAGGTGTCTAAAGGTTGTTTCATACAGGGCCCAAAAGGCCACGTTAAGAATTTTAGATTATACTCTAAAATCCTAATGTGGAGTTTTCACATTGTCTTTTAGCCATAGACACTTTGTTGATGTGAAATCTCACTCTGAAACAGAAATTAGACCCCCAAGCCTGACTTAGGTGGAAGTAAGACTTCACAAGCTAGGACAACACAGAACACAATCCAGGTATGGAAAGATGAGGGGTTTTTCACCAGGACAATCAGCTCCCTCTATTCTGTACTAGGCTCCAGGTATTAAGCCAAATTCACAAATACTTTGGTCACTTAATCACTCCCCCATTCCCACCTATCTGTCATTTATCTTAGTCTTTCAGTCCCTCAACCATTAGTCTTTCAAAATATGCTCTATGAATCTCTAGGGATTCCTGGTGACTTTGCAAAGGTTCTCTACATCCCTAACATTGGTTTAAAGTATTTTATTCTTTCATGCTGTTTGTCTCCACAACTAACTGTGGCCTTGAGGACTGGGATGGTATTTAGCTCATCTTGGTATCCCCAGCACTTAGCACAGTGTATGCCAAATAAATTGCTAAACACACTATATTCCTAATGTTAATGAAGTTTTCCAGAACGTCTTATTTTCACATTAATTAATTATTTGGTCATAATTTTCAAAAACCTTTGGTCAAGTCACTAACTTAATAGATCTCAGTCTCTCTGCTTTCATATCTGTGAACTGATTTGTAATGAGGATCAAATTAGAGATTATGGTTGACCCTTGAACAACACGGGTTTGAACTGCACAGGTCCACTTATACCTGGATTTTTTTCAACTGAACACAGATCAGTATTATTGGTGGGATGTGAAACCTGCCTACACCGATGCCTGATGTTTTGTATACCTGGGTTCCATGGGGTGACTTTGGGACTTGCATATGTGCAGATTTTGATATACTTGGGAATCCTGGAATCAATCCCCTGTGGATACAGATGGATGACTGTATATATAATCTAACATTCTCTGCAAATGTTATTGTTATTACTAAAATTATGAACCTCCTTATTTATATCTTATAAAAAAATCACACTGATAAGGTGAGGTAAGAGGTACCCAGAGCCACGTACATCAACAAAGTAGTTTGCAGACCACAAAAGTTGGGTAAAGCATCTCCTTAAAAGTCCTAATGTGGAGTTTTGAAATATTTTCCTTTTTTTTTTTTGCCACATACATCTTGTTAAAGTGTTACTTAGTAACACAAACAAATAAAATGTTTCAAAGTCAAATTGCACTGCTTGAAGGGCAGTGACCTAAAGTGAAAGGATGGGGTTTGCAGAAGCTCTAGGGCTGAGCTGAACCCAGCTGGAAAAACCACTGACCTCCTAGGTGAATATGGAACAAGAAAGACTTAAGTTCCCTAAAGTTGTTACATACTGAACACATGATTTGGCATTTTAGTGACAAATGTGCAACACAGAAGAAAAGAATTCCAACATTTGCTGTTTGTGGACTTTCTGCAGCAATTGAAGTGCTCAACCTATATTTGTTTATCAATTACTATCAACTTTTCAGGCTAATAGAAAAACAGCAAGGTGGACCAAATACCAAAAATATCAGGGGTGGATGGAAATACATTCAAATATGTTGTCCTGTGTTTTACTTTTGTTTCCAAGTTACTTTGTTTCTTCACAGAACAAAGACTCACACCCAAAGACTCTCAAGGTGTCCTGTTTATGTCCAGACTAATATGCAGCCATCTTTCTCAGGCACATCATTCAGAAGAGACAGACTTGAGTCCAAGGTTTGGTTTCATTAGCCTTGTGTAGAACTTAGGCAATATTAAGTTAGAAAGGTAATTCAAAATTTCTCATTGGTAGGATGGAAACTGTTGGAACCAAAGGTATATTGGAGAACTAGTTATTCATACCTGACACCATGATTTCAGCCACTAGCATGTGTTGAGATTCTGTAATGTTATCTTCTGACACTCTAGTCTTGGACAAGATGTCCAATGGTGTTACTTGGTTCTTTAGATCAACTTCACCACCTATTGAAGGTCAATAGATGCAATTAAATTTAGCTTTTCTGTTTCAAAAAAAAAGTTTGATTTCATTTATGTTTACGACTATTCATTGGTTGTGAGTTCAGACTCATTCTTACAGTAAGAGGATTCAGAGAAACTGTCAGGGTCTTGGTAACTTAGTAAACCTCACCCTGCTATCCCACACCCTCTCATTTTCACTGAGCACTTAATGATTCGGGGGATAAGGAACCAGTACGGAAGAAAGATAGGACTCTTTCAGGTACTGGCAAAAAACAAGAGTAAAATACCAAAACCCTCAGGGACATGATCAGCTCATAATCACAGCCCACGGTTATTAAGGACAAAATAGATGATCTTCCCAACTTGTCTTCCATACACATGCTTCCTCCTTTATGCTGCTTTCATGCTTATTTTAGCCTGATTTTACCTACATCTTATAATATGAAAGGACATTAAAAAGTCATGATTTAATACAGGCATAAGATTCTCGCACTGCCCACTCTCAGAACAGGGGAGAAATGGATTCTGTAAGACAGCAGTTTTCTAAACTGTGATCCACAGAACCCTGGGCTCATCCTTCAGAATGTCCCTAAAGTCATAATTCTTTTCATAATAATACTATAAAGTTAACTGCCTTTTTCCACCATGTTCACATTTGTACTGATATGGCAAAAGGAATGTGGGCAACAGCTGGTGTCTTAGTATGGAAAAAGGAAATGACAGCAAACTCTACCAGTAGCTGAGCTCTTCACTGCCACACACTCATATTAAAAAAGAAAAGAAAAGAAAAGAAAAAAGGCCGGGCACGGTGGCTCATGTCTGTAATCCCAGCACTTTGGGAGGCCAAGGCGGGTGGATCACATGAGGCCAAGAGTTTGAGACCAGCCTGGCCAACATGGTGAAACCCTGTCTCTACTAAAAATACAAAAATCAGCTGGGCATGATGGTGCACGCCTGTAATCCCAGCTACTCGGGAGGCTGAGGCAGGAGAATCTCTTGAACCCTAGAGGCAGAGGTTGCAGTGAGCTGAGATCTTGCCACTGCACTCCAGCCTGGGTGACAGAGCAAGACCCTGTCTCAAAAAAATTAAAAGAAAAAGAAAAAGAAAAAAAAATTGGCTGGGCAGGGTAGCTTACACCTATAATCCCAGCACTTTGGGAGGCCGAGGTGGGAAGACCACTTGAGGCCAGAAGTTCAAGACCAGCCTAGGCAACATAGCATGACCTTGTCTCTACAAAAAATAAAAATAAAATAAAATAAATTAATAATTTAAATACATTAATAATTAATAATTTAAATAAATTAAATAAAAATAAAAATAAATTAGCCAGGCATGGTGGTGCATGCCTGTGGTCCCAGCTACTAGGAGGCTAAGGTAGGGTCCCAGCTATTTGAGCCTGGGTGGGGCCAAGGCTGCAGTGAGCCATGAACATGCCA